>NW_011332701.1:4535264-4835264 GCF_000001405.40 Homo sapiens | reverse complement strand
GTAAGGATTGCCATATAACCTTTATTTTTTTTTGTTTTTATCAATTCAGGAGGTACATGGATTTGTGCAGGTTTGTTACACGGATGTATTTCATAGTGGCAGGGTTTGGGCTTCTACTGTATCCATCACCTGAAGAGTGAACCTTGTACCCAGTAGATTATTTGTTGACCCTCACTGTCTTCCCACTCTCCCCACCCCCAGCGTCTGTTATTTCCCTCTATATGTCCATGTGTAACCACTGTTTAGCTCCCACTTATAAGTGAGACCATGCAGTATTTGATTTTCTCTTTCTGAGTTATTTCACTTAGGATAATGATCTGCAGCTCCATCTATGTTGCTGCAATGGACGTGATTTCATTCTTTTTATGACTGCATAGTATTTCATGGTGTATGTGATCCACATTTTCTTTGTCCAGTCATCTACTGATGGACATTAGAGCCAACATTTAGGCCAGAAACAAAAACAAGTCCACAAACAATGAGGAGGTTGAGCGTGTATGCAGCTAGAAACTGTCTAACCAGCAAATTTTCTTTGATTAAATGCAAAAAGCCCTTACCTCCTAAGTGGGAGAAATAAATTCCAGACTTGGGACAAAGTCACATAACCTCACTGAGTCTTAGTCTCCTTGTGGGCAAAGTAATGTGGATACTTTTAAGTATCTTGGAATCTATACATAAGATGACACGTGTAAATATTTAGCACATTTGGGTGGCCTTGAGTATCTTTTCTTTTTCCTTGTTTAAGACTTAATCAGCTAATCAGTAACTGGAACTACACTTCTAAATGTTTTTATAGTTTTTTCCCAAGGATAAATGCAAAAAGCAATCATTTTATAACTATTTACTAAACATTTAAATTGTTTAAGTCAGAAAAACAAAAGTTATCAATGCATGTCATTTGTCACGTAGATACTAAGAACTGACTTGAGCATGGTACAGTGCTGGGTAAAGGAACAAGGAGAGGTCCCAAATATGGATAAATCCTGCTCGTTGTCCCTAAGTCATTCCAATGGTTTAAGAAAAATAAGACACCTACTCAGTTCTAAGATGAAATGCCTTAAGTACCTTAAGAGAGGCACAAAGTGCTTTGTCACTTAAGAAAAGAGCAATTACTTCTGGCTAAGAGAGATGAAGGAAGCTTTCATGACTTTGACACTTAAGCTGTAAATAGAAGAATGGGAAGAATTTGCATGCATGGAAATGACTCAGACCGTCATTGAGGGAACAGTAAAAGCAAGATGCAAAGGTGAGAAAAAGCCATGTACAAAGAATGTAAGTCGTTTGGGTGGGTCATGGAACACGTGGAGTGAGGTGAAGGAAAAGATGCTTGATCAGTAATCACATATAGTATTTTCTTTAATTTTTATAGCAACAATGTTATTAGGTGTGGTATTATTCACACTTTAAAGAGATGAGGAAATTGAGGTTTGGGGGTTACATGACTTATCCAAGGATACTCAGCTAATTAAACCAGCATACTACGAATACAACAACAGATCTGGGTCTGAAAAGGTAAGATAAGTAAACTGGGTTTATAGCAGGGAGATTGTATTGCCAGTCCAAAAGCATAAGATTTTGAATCCTATGATACAGTCCAGGAATTGGCAGACTACAGCCTATGAGCCGGATCTGGCCCACTACCAGTATTTGTCAATAAAATCTATCAGAACATAGCATAGCCCGGTCGTTGATGCATTTTTCAGATGGCTGCTTTCCCACTGCAACAGTAGAATTAATTTATTGTCCAGTGCACAAGTAAGAATGTTGAATTCATTGTAACTAACGTGTGCATGTGGGCAGGGAGATGGGATTACTAAATGTGTGTTTTAAGCAAATTGTATAACATTAGCTAAATAAAGAGCTAAGCTACTCAGCCACTTACAGATGCCAACAAGTATGTGATTAATATTAAGTAAGATATTTTTATTTGAAGCATGGAAGAAAAAGCATATTTTTTAAATGTCTGAGTTGATAGATCTTTAAGTATTTACTATTTTGAAGATTTTTTGAAGAAATTTTAAAAATAAAAATATAAAAGATAGCATATCACACCCATATTCCCACTACCTAGAATTATAACTATTAACATGCATCATATATTCTTTAAGATTTTAAGTTTAAAAATGAAGTATTACAGATAAAATGAAATTCTACTTGGCATATTATTGCCAGTGTCATTCTCTTCCCAGATCTTTCTAGCAATAACCTCTATCATGAAATTATTGAGTATCTTTCTAGTCTATTTTGAATACTTTCATATGTGTGTATCCATATATAAATACAGATAGATGTCTGTATGTATGGGTTCAATTTAAAATTATACGCACAGTGTAGCATACTGCATGCAAAGTAACAATAGCAGCTTACATTTATTCTGCTATTACCGCCTGCCTGGAGCTGTACTGCTGATACAGGACCCCACCGGTTACCCAAAGCTAGCCTTTGGGTCAGGGGTTTCCTCACTATAGTCCCTTCTGTGGTTGCCAGAAAGATGTTACAGGAAAGTGGTCCCAATCCAGACCCCAAAAGAGGGTTCTTGGATCTCACACAAGAAAGGATACAGGGTGAGTCTGTGGAGTACAGGGAAAGCAAGTTTATCAGGAAAGTAAAGGAATAAAAGAATGGCTACTCCATAGGCAGAACAGCCTTGAGAGCTGCTGGCTGCCCACTTTTATGGTTATTTTTTGATGACATGCTAAATAAGGGATAGATTATTCATGCCTCCCTTTTTTAAGACCATACAGGGTAACTTCCTGACTATTGCCATGACATTTGTAAACTGTCTTGGCACTAATGGGAGTGTAGCAGTGAGGACGACCAGAGGTCACTAGGTGGCCATCTTGGTTTTGGAGAGTTTGGGTCAGCTTCTTTACTGCAACCTATTTTATCAGCAAGGTCTTTATGACCTGTATCTTGTGCTGACCTCATGTCTCTTCCTGTGTCTTACAATGCCTTAGTCATCTGGAAATGCAGCCCAAAAGGTTCCAGCCTCATTTTACCCAGCTTCTATTGAAGATGGAGTTGCTCTGGTTCACATGCTTCTGATACTGTCTCAGTCCTCTTATTGATCCTATGTAGCATGCACTATTACTGTCATGTTTTTTAGGAAATAAGGCACACAGAGAGTTCCCTTGTGCAGGGTCACACAGTTAATAAGTGATAGGGCTGAGAATTAATTCTGCAATCAGGCTTTGGAGCCTGAGCTCTTGACCATCATCACAGATGGACTATTCACTGTATCACTGCAGGATTCTTCACTCTCAGTATCATGCCTCTGATTCCTGTGATTTTTGAATTTGTAGATCTAGTTCATTCCTTCTCACTGTTATACCCTATTCTGTTGAATGAATACAGTACATAAGCAGCATTGCACATTGCATGGTGGTTAAGACCTATGAAATGGGAATAGTAGAAGTTCCTATCTCACAGAGTTGTGAAAATTAAGTTTAATTCAAATACAGTAGGTAGAACAGCACCTGGTACAGATTAAGTACCCAATAAATGTTAGTTGTTATTTGCTATTCTCATATATCACCCTGTTGAACCTATTCATTAGGTTGTCTGTAGTTTTTCTTGATTGCATATATTGCCACAGTGAAAGCTCTGTGTCTGTTTATAATTCTTTTTGGTATCTCCCTACAAGAAAACTTGATGGCTCGTAGAGTGTACATGCTTTCAGTTTTACTTGATATTGCCAAACCCAACTAGACCAATTTCTTCTCCTTAGTGCACTGTGTGGCACTTCCCATTCCCCTGCATCCTCACAAACAGTTAATATTGTCTAATTGTTTACATTTGCCAACCTGATGGGTAAGAAATACTATCATGCTGAATTAATGAATTTTTAATAAGTTGTATTGAGATAGAATTTACATATCATAAAATTCACCCTTTTAAAGTGTACAATTCCATACACATTAGTATCACTTCACTACACAGTGGTTTTTAGTATGTTCACAAGGGTCTACAACCATTACCTCTATCTGATTTTAGAGGAAATCTTTGACTGGTTAGCAATAACTCCCCATTTTCCCCAGCATGGGGAAACCCATAGTTTTGCTAACCTACTTTCTGTATGGATTTGCCTGTTCTGAACATTTCATATAAATAGAGTCATGTGTTTTTGTGATTGGCTTCTTTCACTTAGCACAATGTTTTTGAGGTACATCCATGTTGTAGCATGTATCAGCAAATTCATTCCTTTGTATGGCTCAGTAGTATTCCATTGTATGGATATACCACATTTAATTTTTCCATCAGGTGATGGAAATTTGGTTGCTTCTACTCTTGATTACTATAAATAGTGGTTCTATAAACATTCATATGCAAATTTTTATATAGACATCTTTTCAATTTTCTTAGTTATAGATATATTTATGTACCTAGCAGTAGAATTGCTGGGTCATATGGTAATTCTGTGCTTAACGTTTTGGAAAACGGCCAAACTGTTTTCCAAAGCAACTGTGTAATTCTACAATCACATCAACAGTGTATAAGGGTTCCAGTTTCTTCACATCTTCATCTCTAGTACTTGTTACTGTCTTCCTTTCTGATTCTAGCCGTCCTAGTGGATGTGAAGTGGTATCCCATTGTGGTTTTGATTTGCATTTTCTGATGACTAATGATGTTGAGCATCTTTTTACGTGCTTATTGACCATGTGTATGTCAGCTTTGGAGAAATGTCTATTCAAATCCCTTGTCCATTTTTAGAGGAGGGGGTATAATTTGTCTTCTTATTTGAATTGTAAGAGTTCTTTCTGTGTTCCAGACACAAGTTTCTATCAGGTATATGATTTAAAAATATTTTTCCCATTCTGGAGGTGGAGGTTGCAGTGAGCTGAGATCGCATCACTGCACTCCAGCCTGAGCAACAGAGCAAGACTCTGTCTCAAAAAAATATATATATATATAAAATATATATTTCTATATTATACATATATGTATTATATAATATATAAATAAATGTATTATATAATATATAAATAAATGTATTATATAATATATAAATAAATGTATTATATAATATATAATAAATGTATTATATATTATACATAATATATAATAAATGTATTATATATTATACATAATATATAATAAATGTATTATATATTATACATAATAAATGTATTATATATTATACATAATAAATGTATTATATATTATACATAATATATAATAAATGTATTATATATTATACATAATATATAATAAATGTATTATATATTATACATAATATATAATAAATGTATTATATATTATACATAATATATAAATAAATGTATTATATTATACATAATATATAAATGTATTATACATAGTATATAAATGTATTATACATAATATATAAGTAAATGTATTATATATTATACGTAATATATAAGTAAATGTGTTATATGTTATACGTAATATATAAATGTGTTATGTTATACGTAATATATAAATGTGTTATGTTATACGTAATATATAAATGTGTTATGTTATACGTAATATATAAAGTGTTATATGTTATACGTAATATATAAAGTGTTATATGTTATACGTAATATATAAAGTGTTATATGTTATACGTAATATATAAATGTTATATTATACGTAATATATAAATGTGTTATATGTTATACGTAATATATAAATATAATATATAAATATATTATACGTAATATATAAATATAATATATAAATATATTTTTTGAATGGAAAAAAACCTACAGAATGAAAAATACATATATTTATATTTTCCCATTCCGTAGGTTATCTTTTTTCCCATTCTATAGGTTATCACATCTTAATTGATGTGAATTCGTGAATTTTAGTATTTGTAGTTTCACATTTCCTCAGAACTTCATTCTTCAAAATCATCTCATTATCTGCTAAGTGGATCACAAGCCAGATAACACTGAAGTAAATAATGCTCTGTGCACATAGTACTCCATCCATCAGAAACTACCACATTGTTCACAAAAACAGGCTTCAGCTGGTGAAGAAAATTAAATTTTGATAAAGCAGAGAAGCCTTCACACCTAATTAGGATTTGAATTTAATAACAAGCATTGAAAAAACATTTCAGTATTTTCAAATTGCTGATGGATTAATTCAAAAGCATTTGGGTTTATGTTTAACCTGCCTTAACTCTTTTCTTCTTTCCTTTTCCCTCTTCCTTTCTTTTCCCTCTCTCCCCTGTCTTTTCCCTATTTCTATTTCAGATTGAAAATGGCTCAGGAATCAGTCAGCAAGTTGACTTCAGAGAAGAAAGTGGAGACAAAGAAAATCAATCCCACTGCTAGCCTGGTGAGATATATTTTTCAACATAATCTAACGATTGTCATGAAAATTGAGGTGCGCCCAGGAAGGGCTAAAGCTCAGAGATGAAACATAGTATCCAGATTCTCAGTTCCCATCCCAGAGTAGCATATGGTTAAAAAAAAAAAAAAAAAAGTATGTGTGGGTGGAGGTACAAAACATAGCTTTATATGTTTTTCCTGTAAACTCAACATAGGTCATTTCTGATAAACCAAATTTAGTCACTTACCATTTCACATCCTTCCACACCCTACCCGCAGTACAGTCACCCTTATCTCAAAGTATCTTTTTCTCAAAATGTTTAAATATATTCATTCTCTTCAGTTCCTTTTCCCCATTAAAGAAAGAGGCAGGGATTCTCCTATTTTGATAGTTGGAAAATTTGAAGTGCAGAAAGATACAGCCTACCCAGGGTCACTTAGCAAGTGGATAACAAAAGCCAGGACCAGATTCTGGGTCTCCTGACATCTCTCCCTGTGCTGGAAACCAGCAGTCTCCCCAGCCTTCCTAGATGTGAGATTGCGTTGTCCTCCAAAGTCCAGTTTTCAGTAGAGATCACAATGAATCTCCACCTAGGTGTTACGGACAATAGTCAGAATAGCTACATGGTTAGGATCCCAGGATGCCGAGAATGAAATGGCCTGGGTTCAGATCACAGCTCTGCCACTTAAATAGTTGTAAAACCTTAGTGAAGTTACTTTGTTTCTTTCTCTTCCATGAAAAGAACATACTACTTTTTTTTTGGGGTTATTTTGAGAAAACTGAGAAAAGACATGTAAAATGCCTAACACATAATAAGAGCTCAATAAATATTAGTTGTTTTCCTTGTTGCTGTGAATTTCAGCTGCTTTGGTTGACCCTGCAATGGGGAATGGCAATGAGTGGGAAGTGGAAGTATCACCCTCCTCTCTCGGATTTTTCAAACTCTGTCCTCTCTGGGCCCTGATGTCCAACAACTACTTACTTTATCCTTTTAGATTATTAGTACCTTTTTGCTGGATGCTTCAAATCCTTTGAAAATATAAATGGGTTCTAAGTTATAAAGTGAGATTATTTCTGTTGATTGACCATAATGTTTCTCCCAACAACCCCATGAGCAGCTAAATGAATGTTGCATGAGGTTGATGAATGAGAAATGGAGAAGTCCGGGCTATACTTTTTGGTCGGGGAAAGCCATGGTTGAGCACATGGCCCCTACCTAACCGGACATGTCCTTTGTACCCGTTTGATGGTATATTTATGACATTCATTTGTATGACTTTCAGTGGCAGTCGGCTGAACCCTGATTTTTGTCTTCTTCCTTCATGAGCCTCTCCCTCTTCCTCAGACCTTTTATTTGGGCCTCTATCCAGACTTTTACAGCCAAGTTTGTTCCCCCAAGGCAGAGAGAATGGGGTCAGCCATATAGACAAAAGGGAAACAGTGGGTTTACGACCTCCCCTGTGAGCAAGCTCCCAGTTGTGATCCTGGGCTTGTTGGGGCTGCTTATTTTATTGTCTGTGTGGGTGGGTGGGTGGAAATCAGGGAAGAGCTTGTAAACTGATTCCTGATTCAATTTCGCAAGTTAGGGATGGGGTCCAAATTTAGGATGGGTGTCGAAAAATCATCAACTTAAGTTTATATCTAGGCCAATTTAGTAATTCACTGCAACATCATATCTCATAGCTCATAAGCAGCTAAGGATCCATTCTCAAAGGCTTCTCTCTGCATCTGCTCATTCCAAAAGAGTATACTTCTCCCTTTTCCATTTTAGCCTTCTATTTACCCTCCTCCCAGAGCAGGCACACCATCCTTACCATACTGATATGTGTGCTTCCCTAGTGTCACAGATACCATGGGGGTCCATGTTTCTGTGTAGTGTGCTCCTGTGTATTCTTACGTCTTCCCAGCAGATGTCCATGTCCTTCCCTTTAGAAGGCAGTCCCTGAGGAGGAAGCTCGGAGAATGAAGAGCATAACATCCATGGCAAATCGGGAACTTCTGCCATTCTGCAGAGACTAAATCTGGTCATCTCCCATTTTGCATGGCTTTTGTTGAGTTCTGCCAAGTTGATCATTGGAAATAGTAATTTTTTTTTTCATATCTTCTTGGGCATTCTCTAATTCCATCAATGAGCCAAAGGTAGGGACGGAAGGGGTCCTTGAGTAACACTACAAAGTTAGGGTCTTTGTCACAAAAGAAGAGAACAGAAAAGACCACCCTGGCATGGTAAAGGCCCGTGTTTTAGATGGATGTAGTTGGTAGATTGGCTGGTTATTGATTTCTTGTTTGTTTTTCTGGGGAGTAAGGGTGATAGGGAGGGGCAGATAACTAAGAGCTTAGGGAAAGCAGTAGAGGTACTCTCATTTCTAGGCCATTTGGCACAATTCCGGAAACTCAGCATTCTAGACCAAAATTTGAGAAATGTATCAAAACTTGAGAAAGATGAAAGAAAATGATACATTCATTTTTTTTTCCTTAACAGAAAGAAAGACTGCGTCAGAAGGAAGCCAGTGTGACCACTAACTAAGATGAAGACACATGGAAATGATGGCACTGGAGGTGGAGGACCTTGCACGCATACTCTTTGTGACCACAGGGTTGCAGGACGTTCTTGAAAGATGTGTCACTAAATGTTTGTTTTTGCTCATCTCTTTCTGAGGTCATCTGCAGAGAGTGCCCCATGCCTTCTTTAAGAAGTCCCTCATTAAGCCGCAGGAACAATGGAAAACTATTTAAGGGAACATTGCAGAAATATTTGATGACTGTTTCTTGTGGAAGCCCAAAGTCCACTCTAAGAGCAGAAGAAATACCAAAATGTTTCCAAAATTTTTTTAAAAGCTGAGATTTCCAGCTTTATAACCAAAGCTTGATATATGTCACATTGTCACAGAAGAGAGAAAAGATCATTGAGGACAGTTGCCTTGGGAGAGTTCAAGTCTTTGTCGTTACACACTGCTGTTTTGATTATTGGTCTTAGTTTTGATCCTGTTGCAGCAAAATCCTGCAGCATCTTTCTCTCCAATAATGTTGCAACTCACCAAAACTATTCTTGAAGAGGTCCAAGAACATGTATTATCCAGACTAAAAAAATGATTTTTTGTTGTTATGGTTTACGTGATGAAAAGGAGAAAAAACAGAATCATACCTGGGTGGAGAGAGGGAGACAAATAGCCATAAACTTCATCCTGGAGAACAAGTTACCATGCAAGGAGTTGACATCAGTTGTTCAGTGAGGCCCATTCTTGTTTTTACATCGGTCCTTTGTGGTTTTTCTGGGCCAGCAGAGATTCTGCACCCCAACTCCCAGGAGAAAATGTAATACCTGAGCAAGCACAGCCTTGGGTGTGCTTGGACAAGAGACCCAGCGGCAGAGCACCTTTTACATTTTGGACCGTTCATGAATGGACAATGTTGTGTTGATACGCAGCCGAGTTCTACGTTATGTGCTGTGACTGTGCAGCTGGACGACCCCCATCCCCAGGAGGCAGTTTCCAGACAGGAGAGCAAATGCAACTCACAGCACCTGCTCATGACCTTGGCTGATAGGCATGTGAAGTAGGATGAAGCAGGACTCTTTAATGTCAAAAAAACTGAAGGGCAGAAAAAAGGTTCCTTACATCAAAATGAAAGTAATTACATTAATAGAAAACTTCCAAGTGGAATATTGTTCACAGGCAGCTCTTTCTGACCCTGGCTCTTGAGTCACATAAGGAAACCACCTTTGACCTCTCTGACACTTTTGTCTTTAAGCCACGTCTCTGAAATCTTGTGAGGGGTGAAGAAAGAGGACTGGAGATGAATGGACAATATGATCAAAGACTCATTTTTAGGCCTTGAAGAGGCCGAGCTTTCTCCCCCCAATTGGTGGAGGACAGTCCAGAGATGAGCAGAAATCTTAAATTCCTTCCTGATCCAGCCTCCACATGTGGCCTGCCCCTTGCCCCAGCATCTTTCCAGAACCCCTGGACTTGCCAGGTGCCTGAGCATCTTCCCAGGATATGCCTGCCAGCCAGCAGCCCCTCAGGAATGCTTCTATAATAGATCCAGTAATGAAAGCAGCACCATATCCTAATCTAATGTCAGCTTCGAGAATGAAGACTGCAGTCAGGATCAAATCAAGTCACAGAAGCCATATTCATGCAGGTGCTAACCGCCTTTTCTACTGGTGCAACTGAAAGGAATATGGTAACATGGTTGGATTTTTAAAATTCACAATGAAGGAACGAGACAAGCAAAACAGAAAAGCCGAGAAGGAACATGCATGACTAAAAAGGCTTGAAGTTGCTTGTGAGCAACAAGCTTTTTATGCTGCTTTCTTACATAGTTTCTCTTCATTTTCACTTAACTCTGAAGACAACCAAAAGAACGGATCAATTAAAAACTAATTCCACTTATAACCATCATATGCTCCTTCTAGTGTTATCATGCACAAGAAAAGTGCCAGTTTTACCCATGCCATAGAAATCAGCTCTTTTGAGTTACATGGGGCCAGCAGAAGTCTCAATCCTTATAGGCTTGATGGTGAGAGCAGCGGGAGGTTTGAGGTGTACTCATTGCAGTCCAGTTTGGTCTCTAAATAGGATGCTTACGAGAAATCAGTGAAGGTAAGCAGGGCTGCCACTGTGGCCACGTAACCCTTCAGGAACCAGTGCTGAAGAATAATGAGTGAGAACACTTAATTTGAGAGTTAGACAAATACAGCCCACTTTGGATTTCATCCTAGTGAACAGACTAAAACTTTGCAGTAAAATACCTATTTCTACAAAGCAAGGTTTGCCTGCCTCGGTTGGGGAAACCTAGTGGTTTTGTCACACTAGTCGATGTATGATGTTAGTGTTGTAAGACACCATGGCAGAATCTTCATTATTCTCACCTATTCTGAACCCTGCGTCATGTATCTGGGATGCCCCCTCCCAAGTCCACCAATGTACCACGTTGCTGACACAGCCTTCATTTTTAACTCAAATTGATGCTCAGTAAAGGTCAATGACAATTTGTTCAAGGAAGTTCATCTAAAATAATCTGGAGGCCTTGAAAATGATCCCTCTAAAATGCTGTTGAGCTTGTGTTCAGTGTAGCAGGAGGATCTGAACTTTTCCTGGAGAGGAGGTGATCGGGATGCCATTTGGCAGCTTAAGCACATCCTGCCAGCAGGCTTTAAGTGGCTGTTCTAGGCATAGCCCTCCCTGAACTAGAAAGGAGAGTAACCAGTTTGCTATGCTGCGTCTCACCAGACACACCTGACTTAGTAGTAACTCTAAGAACCCTTAACTTACAAACAACTTTGTCTCCTCTTAGACAATATTCATTAAATCTGAGGACACAGTTTGACAGTAGTTCAGATTCTTGCATGAGCAATTGACAGCATCAGAGCACACAATATCATAAGTTACATAAATTACACAAAGTACATCATAAATTACACTACAGACACATTAGGTAAAAAGCATCAGGCCCGGGCCGGGCGTGGTGGCTCATGCCTATAATCCCAGCACTTTGGGAGGCCAAGCAGGGGCGGATCACGAGGTCAGGAGATTGAGACCATCCTGGCTAACACGGTGAAACCCCATCTCTACTAAAAATACAAAAAATTAGCCGGGCGTGGTGGTGGGCGCCTGTAGTCCCAGCTACTCGGGAGGCTGAGGCAGGAGAATGGCGTGAACCCGGGAGGTGGAGCTTGCAGCTAGCCGAGATCGCGCCACTGCACTCCAGCCTGGGCGACAGTGAGACTCCGTTTCAAAAAAAAAAAGCATCAGGCCCATGAAGTATCAAAAACCAGGTTAGGAGGTGTGCTGTATGGCTTTTATCTCAAGAAGTGGCAGCTTACTGGGGAAAAAGAAATAAGAAAAAGTGTGGCCAAGCAGAAGTGGATGTTTATGATGACGGTGGGGGCCCAGAAGTCATAGGTGATGGTCCTACTGCCCAACAGTTGCCTTTTGAATCCTTATGTTGATGATGGTGTCTTTCTACACACTCACTGCAACTACTCAGGAATTATAAAGATTTTCTGAAATCTGAGAAGTGGAATAAGGAAACCCAGTGGAGCTATTACACTTTTAAATGTTCTAGCCAAAACAAATTGCCAGTATGGTTGAGGAATTGAATATCAGATGGCATGCAGTCTCCCCTCCCCTCCCCTATCAAGGACAGTAGAAGCTGCAAACCTCTTCTCAGCCTCCTTCAGGCACCTCCTGTTTTCATAAGCACCATGAAGAATGGTGTTTCCTAAATGAAAAGTTCAGATACTGCTGGTAAAGAAACTGGAAAAACTGAAGGAAGGAATAAAATATGTTGGTGGTATTAACACCTCCAGTAAGATAAGTCATTGGTACGGTTTTTCTAAGGGCCGCAGTGAGATGTAGCAGAAGAAATATGTTTATTTTGGGCAAAGATTTGCTTATTGGCCTGGGATTGCACATTTTCTCTATGATGTTTGCAACAGAGAAATTTTCATTTTAATGATACTCTTCCTTTCTTGAAAGTTACATGTCCTCATTTCTGTTTCTGCTTCTCCCTTGGCCAGTGTCATTGATGCAGATCATTGCATACAACAGCACAGCAAATTGCGCCAAGTCAGTGTGTGAATGGGAATTAGCAATGCACGCTTGCAGGCTCTTTTTCCAGGAACCAGGCTGTAACATTGACCGGGGAACCTCTTCATTCCCTGACATACTAAATTGGTCAATTTTGTAGTACTCATCTCCATCCACAAAAACAACAAAGATAAAATCAATTTGGAGCTTTATATGACAAAAAGGAAGAAGTCCAAAAATATATAGCCTTCCCCCCTCCCACATATCTGATCCAAATATTAAATATCTGATTTTATAAAACAGTTTAAATTGTCTTTTTAAATTGCTAACAAGCATCAGTTATATTTGAGCTTCATTTTTCTTTTATCCTGTCTGTCCTAATAAAAACAAAAATGGCCAAAAAGTGGAGAGGAAAGAAAAAGCTTCCACTTTTTAAAATTTGTTTTGTATTAGTTATTTTACCTTTAGGGACCCTACAACTGAAGAGAGTGGAGAGAATAAAGAAGTGAACTTTCATTCATGTCTGCTACTTTGACCTCATAAAGAAATCTGCAACACAGATGAAACCAGTCTGTGTGGCCAAGCTGATGGGATTTGAAAAGAGTGGATAATTTTTAGCCTTTCCAAAATGCAAATAACTTGGATATATTTCCATTTTCCAGCTATAGAGAGAAACAATCCAGCTGCCTGGAAACTGTTATTAGTATAGAAGTGGCTTAAAGAAAAGCATCTTCAAATACTTGACTTAGCATATCTTTCTTCTTTAGACTTACATAATGATATTCATCTCTCCATTAGCAATTGAATCCAGGCATAACCGGGCTCAGTTACACAGCTTGTCTGTGACTGGGAAGCCCATTTTGTGTCATTTCTGCACACCTGTCCGCTGTTGACACCTTATTAGAGGCACTGCATTTTGGTTTCACAATTCTTCATCTCCCTTCCCAAGGAATGGGCAATCTACTGAACTTCCAGATCAATGCTTTGTTGGAAAGTGATGAATTTAAGAGAGTTTTAACATGTCAAATTTGAAGCCAATTCAGTATCCTTATTTGTTCCAAGACTCTTAACCAATACTGTGATATAAAGTTAGGATTTGGGAAACGTGTAGTTAACAACTTGGAAACATGAAGATATTAAAATGGCAGCTGGCTAACTGTCTCTTAAGCCACTATGCAATTTCTACCAATGGAGAGATTAGGGAAGCAAATTAAGCCTCATTCAGTAGGTCTGCTGTCTGGTGGAACTTACGGAACTCATTTCCTCCTCTATCCCCAGCCCTTCTCCTAACTATGGTGATAACCAGGGCCATAGAAGACCTTTTCTCTCTTACCTTTCTCTGATAGGATCGTGTCCTTCAGTCAAGAGCTCATGTGAACTCCAGACTTTATATTACATCTCTGAAGTTCTTGATGTGGGGAAGATTGACTTTTATTCCATTTTTATATGAAGGTGTTAGATATAGCCATCAATTTATTTTTCTACATTCCCTCTACGCTTATGTAATTTTCTATTTTTAAATCTTCTCTTAAATATACTGAGAATCTCTAGTCTCCTTTTCTAAAGGCTGATCCAACTACACTTGTGGGCTATTTTTCCAAGCTTTGTGTGAAACTTGATGACATTGGGCCAGCAAAATGCAAAGAAGACTATAGTTTCAGGCAGAAAATCACGTCCAAAGAATTTGGCATGGATTAAACAACCTCTACCACACTATAGCTCTCACATAGGCTGAACATTTTCCTAAATTCTACCTGTGCAGACACTGAGGGGCTCTCTACCTTTGAAACTATGAGAACGTCTTAAATTAATATGAATATTTCTCTCCATGTATAGTGTGAGCTGCCAATGCATTATCTTAATACATCAAGAAGGAAATCAGATTTCAGGCACACATTAGCAATTGTTTGTTAATGTCCTTGGCAAACGTGTACCTGCTTTCCTTCATTGTTCTCTTCAGGGGCTTTCTTCCACTTTCCTCTTATGAAACGAATGTGTTTTTGACTGTTAACTGGGTTCGCTTTCCAGATCTGTCTTTCCCAAATGAAAGGTTAGTCCCATAGACCACTGGCTATTCAGGGAAATTACTCTCTACCTCCCCATGACATGGATGATAAGTGTTGAGGGATGAACACTCTGGAAACTCTTAGCATGGATTTTGAATTCCAGATTTCTTTATAGGAGATGTATAAAAAGGAGTTTATAGCATACAAAAATTATACTGCTCTTCCCAGTAAGGGACTAAAAGGACATTTGAAATCTTTACATTTTAGATGTTTTTGTGAATTATAAATATCTCCTTTTTCCTCGCTTCATGCTAACTTGTCTCTAGATAAAATCTTATTTCTTCATACATTGGACCACAAGGCATAAAGAAGGTAGCTCAGCGCCACTGAGATTGTGTTCTGCATAATATTTGGAAGGCTTCCATTTCCATTGAAAACAAATCCATGAGTGAGAGGGAAAGTCTAGTATCAATTCTTCTGTTTGCTCGCAATGACACAAATAGGTTTTGGGGATCTACCTAAGGGATAGGTCTACTCCAAAATTATTAAATTTATAATTGTGCAATTCTGTAATTTCCCAAGGCATAAGTAATATGACCCTACTGTCAGCTAGATGTCTTATCTTCAAAGAGAGTATGCATTAATAAAAAGAACTTCCCTTTAAAGAACCAATCTAAAATACTAAAAAGGCAGAAACTTTTAAAATTAGAAATTGGATAATTTTTAAGAATCTTTAGAGAAAACATTGGTTTATCATAGTCTTTTTCTTTCATTGAGTTTTCATTTAGACTAGCATGGCAAGCAGGGTGGCCTTGGACTTTGATTTAGGGGATCGTGCTTTGGCCTGGAAAATAAGCACTGGCCTGCATGCCTAGAACCTGAGTGAAGGCAGTCAACATCCTAGTATGAATCAGACCTAGCAGAAATGTAAATTATTTCAAGTACTTCAGGGTTTAGTTTTCTTAGTGACACCCTGGACCCTGGATGCTGCTTTCTAAAGTGCACCTGATCCATGCAGTTTTATGTCTTCATATAACTGGTATCTTGTGAGTTTGCAAGCAATGGGATGAGCAAGAAAAAAAGGACGCATGGAGGAGAAAAATTTGAACGAGGCTAGTGCAATGTTTTGCTGATAGATTACATTGTTAGGGAGCTGGTGATTTTTTGCCATGGTCGTATCGTGGACAGCTTTTCCGTGGAAATTCAAGGCATCTGTATTAGGCAAATGTGAGTGCCCTTGATCTTGTATTGATCAGTGCCAATGTACTGGGAAAGCAGGTACCCCAGTGAAACTGGTCTGTGCTTGGTTTAACAGCTCCAACAATTTCAGATCCATGGGGCTGCTTGACCATAGACCCTGTTTACTCCATGCCTGTTCAAAAGTCATTTTGACTTCTAGCTTTGTTTCACTTTCTTCTTTCAATACTTCTGTTTCCTCGTCCTTTTCCTTCATATTCCATGGCTATTTCTTTCCTACTTTACAGTTTCCCCCAGACCCAGATTTTTTCACACCTCTGCATCATAGACAACTGAGTAGCTCCCTTGGCCCCTCCTCCATCCTCTCACACCCTGTGCTCCGTTCCTCAGCCGTTTGGACAGGGAGCTCCGCTGTCACCAAGGAGCCCATGTGAGACACACTGCTGTGACTGCCTCTTGTTAATGTCAGCATCACCTCATCACTTAAGCAAAAAGGAAAATCCATAAAAGAGATGGAAAATACGTCTCTTTTTATTTTATTTTAAGAAGATTGGGCGGGGTGGGGGGGGGGTTCTTATTCTAGGCCTTCTCAATTTCTCATAGATTTTACCTTAAACTAATTAAGGCCATTCTCTTGATAAATTTGTACATCAGACCGGGTCACCAGCTATGATGCAGAACGCCAGATTTTTGAATCTCAAGTAACTTTCTGTGGTGCTGGACAAATTGACTTAATTCTGTGCAGGCAAACACTTTGAATCATAAGGATTTTTATTGCCGCTCCATTCTTACTACTATTCATGATTCAAACATCTACCCCTGTTCTGAATCAGGATGTTGACACTTCTTGGTTATTTTCAGATGAACAGTAACTGCTACACTCTTGAAAGCACTTAAAAGTGCAAGCATGTCCTAAATAGCCATTTAACCTGGTAAAACATAGGCTTTTCTGTTTAATTAAGTATTAGACCAGTCTGTAGATATAATCTGAAAAGATTGTAGGCAGTAATGAAGACAGTTGGGGAAAGGAGAAGGCCCTTTAAAGACATGAAACCTTACACGCTCTTGGGATATTTTTAAGCATAATAAGCTCATTGGATTCAGGTATTTTTCCCTTTGCATTTTTAAAAATACGTATTTCTAATTTGTTTGCATATTTAATTTTGTCAAAGCTGAGAAATGCTCATGAGTTGAATTTATAAATGTCATTTGCAACCAAATGAAGTATTTATTTTTAAAAAGAGAGTGAAGGAACCAACACTGATTTGTACATAATAAAAATGTGTGTATTATATATATATATTTTTTCCTCCTTGACAGTACTTGGTCACAATATCAAGTGTATTTTTGTACATAATATATATTGATTAGAAAAACGTCAATTGTCTATTCAAAAAATTCTATCTCTGTGATAGATTATATTTATCCTAATCTGTTGATACCTCTGTTAATTTGTTTTAAGAGAATTATATTTTTTGGAATTTACAGAGAATTGCATTCATGGCTTTCAATTGTAAATATGCTAAGGGTATTTTAATAAATCTTGGTTTCATGTCCATCTGGTGTGCAATGCAGATTTGTTTTCAGGAGGCATGTAAAGCAATATCCCAGTAGTACTGTAATGTGGAGAACACCAGTCATTTCTAACTTGCGTTACCACTCAGGTACACTATTCTGAGCTGCAAGAGCTGAGTCTGAGGAAGTCTATCGTTGGTATTTCCGTTTTTCTCCCATTTGTCCCCTATCAACTGTGGGCAACTTGGCCAGACATTCAAGGCTAACAACCAACAGACAAAACCAGCCAGGCATTGTCTCAACAAGGCTTACCCAAAAGCAACACTTCCTGAATATACATTGCCCAAGGGACGGGGCACAAAGAGATTGGTGACTTCAGGCTATAGGTTGAAAATAATAAACTGGAGAAACAGAATAGAAACATAATTGTATGGATTCTTTTACTAAGCACAAGGTACACATTCTTTTCAAGGAATAATATGAAGCATGCAGGTATTTTATAAACATAAAACACTTTAAGCAAAACAGTCTTCTATTTAAATACAAATGTAATTGTGCTTTTTAGTTAATTCATTTCTTTGGTGTTCCTGAATGCCGTACGCTACAGTTCTAGATATTTGCTGCAATATACCCTATTATGTATAGCAATGTTTAATGAACATACATAGTTATTATCTAGGAAGACATTTCACCACTACAAAATCTTCTAAATCATAGTCAGTGAGCTGCAAAAATCTTTGGACATTGGAGAAAATATCTCAGTAAAACTTCTGAAGTTCAAGGGAATTGCTAAAAATCACACTTACTGTTGGTGAACACTTCAAGACTAGAACCCAGATTTCTTGACACTAAGGCCAAAGCCCTTCCAACTGATGGATTCATTCATCAAATTAGACCGCTCTCTCCTTCAAAATACTCTATCATGGAGAAATATTCTAGAACTATTCTTTGAAAAGAAGAATCCAAAGGCCGCTAACATTTTTGAGAAACATTATTAGGTTTGTGTTCTGAATTACAACACCTATGTGAGGGTAGAGGCCTGGATGTCATAAGGACCCAGGAAAAAATACCAGCACACCATAGGAAGAATCTCATCTCTGGTCTAACCAAGATTTACCCTCCCTTGCTTAGCTAATGAGTATACATCTTTGCCTAGTCTTTAAATAGTCTATGAAGCTGATGGTCCAACTAACATCTGTTTTAGTACGTTTTGTGTTCCTGTAACAGAATACCTGAGAATGGGCAATTTATAAACAGAAATGCATTGTCTAACAATTCTAGAGTCTGAGAAGTCCAATATCATGGTGCCAGCATCTGGCAAGGACCTTCTTGGTGCATCATCAGACGGCAGAAGTCAGGCCACAGAGGCAAGGGGGGGCCTAGCTTTTTTCATACAGCATTAATCCCACCCATCAAAGTGGAGCCCTCATAGCCTCATCACCTCTTAAAGGTCCCATATCTTAATACTGTTACAACGGCAATTAAACTTTAACATGAGTTTTAGAAGGGACAAACATTCAAACCATAGCACAGGTTATAAATCCCTGAGGCTAAATATTCTCCCCCAGATCGGCTGCCCACTTTCACCTTGCTGTGATTGTCATTATGGAAATAAAAGACTTTAAAGTTCTCCACTGGCCCTTCATGCACATTAGATGCCACTGAATCCAAATCTTCTGAAGGTAATGTTTGCTTCATGCCCATCATTGTGCAATGATAAATTGTAGGAGAAAATATATTAGTTATTAATTGCTGTATAACAAAATACCCCAAAATTTAGTGTATTAAAGCAACAATATTACTTCTCTTGGCTTTTGTTGATCAAGAATTTGAGAAAGGCTCAGCTGGGCTGTTATCACTTGGAGTGTCTCATAAGGTTGTAGTGATATGTTCATTAACATATCTGTCATCTAAAAAATTATTAATATGAGCCTGTCATCATCTGAAAACTGTATGGCTTGAGTGGGACTGGAAGATGCCCATTCTAGTTAGCTGACTCAGCTGGCAAGTTGGTGCTGGCTCTAAGCTGGAAGCCTCAGTTCCTCTCCACATGGGCGTCTTGAGTGGTCCAAAGTGAAACATGTAATGTGCTTTCTGACCAAAGCTCAGAAGCTACACCCAGTCACTTTCATATTGAGCTATTTATAAATGATCTGTGCAGACTGGGGAAGTGGGGAACTAGACTCTGCCTCTTGATGGAAGAATGTCAATGCCACATTGTAAGAGCATGTAAGATGGGATGTATATTGGTGAGACCATCTTTGGAAAATACAATCTGTTACAGCAGCTTGCCCTGTTTTTTCTCTCTAGTCTTTCTCCTCCTTCCCTTGTTCTAATTTTTGTCCTAAATCTAGGTTTTAGATTTCTTTTTCAAATTTTTTCCTACTTTTCCCCAAATCTTCCCTCCCTCAATCTGCATATTGGAGCACAGACATGTTTGTCTTGCCTCTCTGGAATAGAGGCACTCTTTTTTTTTTTTTTTTTTTTTTGAGACAGAGTCTCGCTCTGTCTCCCAGGCTGGAGTGCAGTGGCGCGATCTCGGCCCACTGCAAGCTCCGCCTCCCGGGTTCACGCCATTCTCCTGCCTCAGCCTCCTGAGTAGCTGGGACTACAGGCGCCCGCCACCACGCCCAGCTAATTTTTTCTATTTTTTAGTGGAGACGGGGTTTCATCATGTTAGCCAGGATGGTCTCGATCTCCTGACTTCGTGATCTGCCTGCCTCAGCCTCCAAAAGGGCTGGGATTACAGGTGTGAACCACCACGCCTGGCCTGGAACGGCTGTATTTACCCAATATCTGTACCCCCATTGTATCTAGGATGTAACTAGCTTGCTTTTGATTTTACAGGCTCATAAGCAGAATAGACTTGCCTTGTCTCAGATGAGACTTTGGACTGTGGACTTTTGGATTAATGCCGAAATGAGTTAAGACTTTGGGGGACTGTTGGGAGGGCATGACTGGTTTTTAAATGTGAGGACATGAGATTTGGAGGGGCCAGGAGTGGAATAATATGGTTTGGCTGCGTCTCCACCCAAATCTCAACTTGAATTATGTCTCCCAGAATTCACACGTGTTGTGGGAGGGACCCAGGGAGAGGTAACTGAATCACGGGGGCCGGTCTTTCCCGTGCTATTCTCATGATAGTGAGTAAGTCTCACGAAATCTGGTGGGTTTATCAGGGGTTTCTGCTTTTGGATCTTCCTCCTTTTTCTCTTGCTGCCACCATGTAAACAGTGCCTTTCACCTCCCGCCGTGATTCTGAGGCCGCACCAGCCATGTGGAAATGTAAGGTATGTCTCAGTCTCAGGTATGTCTTTATCAGCAGCGTGAAAATGGGCTAATACAGTAGGTCTTGCAAGGAAGAGCCTCTGAGGTGGCAAAGCCTTCAGTGGTAGATACCAAGTTTTTATTACAAGTGACTGCAAGACTGTGTCAGTTAAGATGGCTGTTTGAAGCTCCTGAAGGCTTAATTTTTTTTATGGTCACAGAGTCCTCTGGTGAAAACTGATAGTGGAAGAGTGTGCTTGTTTGTGAACTTATCTGGTTGGATGCAATCTTCATTTCTTTATATGTTTATTAAACAAAACATGTTATCCTTATTGGCAAAGTGCCCTATGAAATATAAAGTAAAGTCTTTTTCTAAGATGGAGTTAGTTATGTCCGAGGTGCTCTACACAAACAGCCAATACTGTTTTTCCTGGGACCATCCCCTTTTGAACTTCACAATTGGAAATTACTGTCTCATTTCCTGAACCCAAACCTTGCCACTCGATTACTTAGTCTGCATGTGAGTTGATTCATTCTGGCCTTTCCCGTTCCTCTAGGGGTGAGATATTCTTTCAGTTCTAGTTAGCCCACAACAGTACTTTATTTATTCACTTGGACTTTTTGCATTTCAATTTCCACATCTGTTTAGACCAGAAGATTTTTAAGCTCTGTAAGCAGCTATTGTAGAAAGCACCGTATGAGCTCCTGTCTTCAAGACCTACAATATACCAAAGAGGAAACACACCACTAATAAAAACGAATGGGCATTTACACTAAACACATTCTATTTGGGAAGAGGCCATTGACACTTAGAGCTGAAGACTGGCTCTTTAGACATTTCTCTTGAAGAACGGCAAAAAAGAGAAAGCCTATTCCAAGCAGCATAATGACCCATGTGGGAAGCAGACAGTAAATACGGAAGCCCTATAACCACATTTGCAGATAAATCAAAGGATATGGCAGGGTGTTGTCCAGGCAGCAGTAATGTGTGTATGTAGATTCATCCTATGTTGAGGCATGGTAGGTAATATGGGTCTCCTCACTGAGAGCAACAAGAAAGACAATTTTTAAAAATTTACTTGAAAGACTTTACAAAGTAAAAATTACTGAACTAAGATTTGAGAGAAGATCAAAGAGATAAAGATGACATTTGGCATTGCTTTCCACCCAGGGATTCTAAAAAAGATTACTGAGCGGCTGGGAAACTTTGATGTGTTAGAGGTACAAAAGTGAGATCAGGCACCATTATGTTTAAACCTGATAAAATCACCTTGTTTTGGGTTAAGGGAGTGGTTCTCAAGTACCAGGGACATTTGGCAATGTCTAGAGACATCTTTGATAGTCAGGACTGGGAAGGGATGCTGTTAGCATCTAGTGGGGAGAGGCCAGGGAAACTCCTAAACTTCCTACAAGGCATAGGACATCCCTTCCACAATAAACAATTATCAGACAGAAATTTCAATAGTCCTGAAATAAGGCGATACCAGATGGCTAGTGCTCTCAAGTGCCTGGAACAACAGCAGCACAATCCTTTCTGGAGGTATATAATGTCATCCTACATCTGTACAAACAAACCAATTTTTCAAATAAAATTTCTGTCACACAAGGATAAACCAGCATACAAGGAAACAACAATCATGAATGAGAATTAGTAGGAAACATGCTCAATAGAACAAAACATGCACAGGCTTGACATATTGAAGCTATCAGCTTGCAATGTTCAGGGAGAAAAAATGAAAAGATTGGAAATTTTGGCAAAGAACTGAAAACCATGAAAAGATTACAGGGCAAATTTGGGAGAAAGAAAAATTCTAGAACCAAAAAAATGCAGTAATCCCAATTAAGAATGCCCAGGATGGGCCAGGCACGGTGGCTCACGCCTGTAATTCCAGCACTTTGGGAGGCCGAGGCGGGCGGATCACGAGGTCAGGAGATCGAGACCATCCTGGCTAACACGGTGAAACCCCATCTCTACTAAAAATACAAAAAAATTAGCCGGGCGTGTTGGCAGGCATCTGTAATCCCAGCTGTTGGGGAGGCTGAGGCAGGAGAATGGCATGAACCCAGGAGGCAGAGCTTGCAGTGAGCCGAGATTGCGCCACTGCGCTCCAGACTGGGTGACAGAGCGAGACTCCATCTCAAAAAAAAAAAAAAATGCCCAGGATAGGTGTTACAGCAAATTAGAAATAAAGTAATAGAGAATTGGTAAACTGAAAAGCAGGTCTGAAGAAACAATCTAAAATGAAACTCAAAAGAGATGAAACATTGAACAGAAGGTAAGAAATGTAGAGGATACAGTGAGAACAGAAGTAGTAAAGCTATATTAGCAGGGTTGATGGCAAAATGTTCCAAAACTAAAGCAAAGCATCAGCCAACAGATTCAGGAAGCTGCCGGAAACCCAAGCAGTATAAAGGAAAAGAAATTCACTCCTAGATGCATCTTAATTAAACTTCAGGAAAACAGAAACAAAAATAAAATCTTAAAGGCATCCAGGGAAAAAAAGACATTAAAATCAAAGAGTTGTTATACAGGTTGAGCATCCCTAATCTGAAATGCTCCAAAATCTGAAACTTTTGATCACTGATATGATGTTATATGTGGAAAATTCCACACCACCTCATGTGATGGGTTGTAGTCAAAATGCAGACGCACAACCTCAGTTTATTCAGGATTTCCAAGGGAAAACAGACCCTCCAGCCATTTAAAAATAGCCATGCAGCAGAATGCCTCCTCATTCCTGGAGGACCCACTTCCTCGTCTCTCAACTGCTTCTAATGTTTCTTCTCATCTAGAAAGGTAAAATTCAGTGTATAGTAACCTTTTCATCGAAACACACATCAAAAGTAGAGATTGAAAACTTGCCGTTCTTTGTGGTTGCTATTGTTTAAAAACTGATACAGGTATTCTGGTGACGCTACTGTGCTGCTTAGTTACCCTGAACATTATTTTTTCACTGGATTCATGGTACCTCCTAGTTTTTACTGTTGGGTACTTGTGTGAGTAAGTGTAAGAAAAAGATTGCTTCTCGGTTGCATATAAATTCAGTCAGTAAAGATGGTGATGCCAAACAATGACAGATTGTCCATACAGGTGGCTGAAATAATGGCACCTGTGCTTTCTGATGGTTCAGTGTAAATAAACTTTGTTTCATGCACAAAATTATTAAAATATATACAATTACCTTCAGGCTATGTGTTTAAGGTATATATAAAACAAATGAATTTCACATTTAGACTTGGGTCTCATCCCCAAGATATCTCATTATATATGTGCAAATATTCCAAAATCCAAAAACATTTGAAATCTGAAAAACTTGTAGTCCCAAGTATTTTGGATAAGAAAAACTCAACTTATAGTAGGATGGTAGATTTAAACTCATATTTGTAATTATGTTAAAAGTAAATAAATTATATACCCCAATTAAAAGACAAATTCTGTGAGAATGGATTTCTTGGGAAGACCAAAAATCTTTACAGCTACTGATGGGATATACAAAGATTCAGAAAGGGTGAGAGTGAAAGGATAAAAAGTGTATAAATATACCATTTAAAGTTACAAAAACTAGATCATTAGCTGATTTCTCAAGTGAAAGCATGAAATTCAGAAGATAATTATATGATTTATTCAGTGTTCAAATGACACACACACAAAAGAGAAAATTTGTCACCTGAAGCCCTGCCCTAAATTGATATAGCTACATTAATATTCACTAAAGTATACTTTAAGAAAAAAAGCATTACATTAATAGGAACACTTCACATTAAGAAAAGGCTTCACTTACTCGGAAGATAAAACAATTTCATTTTTTATTTATGTAATGGCATAGTCTCTGAATATTTAATAGAAAAATAGAATTATAAGGAGAAACAGAAAAAGCCACCCAACACTGTGGGAGTAACTGACAGGTCACACGGAGAGAAATTAGAAGGAAGTAGGATCATGAACACCATGATTAATAAATCGACCTAATCTACATATATAGAACACAACACTCAACAACTCTTTAAGCACATACAAATGTTTACAAAAATTGACTATGTGTTAGATCGTAAGGCAAGTCTCAACGAATTTAAAATAACTGAAACTATAAAATATGTTCTGTGAAAGCAAAGCAATTAAAATGGAGATAAATAGCTTTTTAAACTAGAAAATTTCTACATTTATAAACAGTAAGAAACGTTCTTCTAAATGACCAGTGGGTAAAAAGAAATCGCAATGAAAATTTAAAAATATTTTGAGCTGAGAGATAATATTTTTCGTGGAAAAACTTGCGTAATAGAGCAAAATCAGTGTTTAGCAGGGAAGTTATAATCTTAAGTGTATAATTACAAAACAAGACAAAATATTAATCTCAAGAAATTAGGCATGCTATAACAAAACTACCTTAGGGGGAAAAAAGAAATTAGACAAATAACAACATGTAGAATCAAAAGAAAGGGAAGAATGAAATAATTAAAGTAGAAAACAGAATTAACACCAAAAGATGATTTTTTAAAGTCTAATAAAGTTTTTAAACCGTTGGCAAGACTAAGTCAAATGAGAGCATGAGAACGAATATCAGAAAGCAGGAACAGAAGACACCAAAAAAAATGGAAAAATATTTCATGTTCATAAAAGGGAAGAATTAATATTGTTGAAATGTCCAGACTACCCAAAGCAATCTACAGATTCAGTGAAATTCCTATCAAAATACCAATGACATTCTTCAGAGAAATAGAAAAAACAATCCTAAAATTTATACAAAACCACAAAAGACCCAGAATAGCCATAGCTATCCTAAGCAAAAAGAATAAAACTGGAGGAATATATTACCTGACTTCAAATTATACTAGAGAGCTATAGTAACCAAAACAGCATGGTACTGGCATATAAACAGACACATGAACAGTGGAACAGAATAGAGAACCCAGAAACAAATCCACACACCTACAGTGAACTCATTTTTGACAAAGGTGCCAGGATCATACACTAGGGAAAAGATAGTCTCTTCAATAAATGGTGCTGGAAAAACTGGATATCCGTAAGCAAAAGAAGCAAACTAGACCCCCATCTCCTACTACATACAAAAATCAAATCAAAATTAATGAAAGATTTAAATCTAAGGCCTCATACCATGAAACTATTACAAGAAAACTTTTGGGAAAATCTTCAGGACATTGGTCTGGGCAAAGACTTCTTGAGAATTATCCCACAAGCACAGGCAACCAAAACAAACATGGGTAAGTGAATCACATCAAGTTAAAAAGCTTCTGCCCAGCAAAGGATACAACCAACAAAGTGAAGAAACAACCCACAGGATGAGAGAAAATATTTGCAAACTACTTCTCTGACAAGGGATTAATAACCAGAATATACGAGGAGCTCAAACAACTGTATAGGAAAAAATATAATAATCTGATCCAAAAATGGGCAAATTGAACAGACATTTCTCAAAGGAAGACATACAAATGGCAAACAGGCGTATGAAAAAGGTGCTCAACATCACTGATTATCAGAGAAATGCAAATCTAAACTACAATGAGCTATTATCTCACCCAAGTTAAAATGGCTTATATCCAAAAGACAGGCAATAACAAACGCTGGCGAGGATGTGGAGAAAAGGAAACACTTGTACACTGTTGTTGGGAATGTAAATTAGTAAAACCACTGTGGAGAACAGTTTGCAAGTTCTTTAAAAAACTAAAAATTGAGCTGCTATATGACCCAGCAACCCCACTGTTGAGTATATACCGAAAAGAAAGTAAACCAGTTTTGTTGAAGGTTTGTCTTCACTCTAGTGTTTGCTGCAGCACTGTCAGCCCTGTTTACAATAGCTAAGATTTAGAAACAACCTAATTGTCTATCAATAGATGAAGGGATAAAGAAAATGTGGTACATATACATGATGGAATACTATTCAGCTATACAAAAGGACAAGATCCAGTCATTTGCAACAACATGAATGGAATGGAGATCATTATTCCAAGTGAAATATGCCAGGCACAGAAAGACAAATATCACATGTTCTCACTTATTTGTGGGATCTAAAAATGAAATCAGTTGAACTCCTGGACATAGAGAGTAGAAGGATGGTTACCAGAGGCTCTAAGGGTAGTGTGGGGCCAGGAGGTGGGGAGGGGGTGAAGGTGGGAATGGTTCAAACAAACAAACAAAAAAAGAAATCAGGGTGAAAGAAGGGACCCATGGAACATCACTATAGAGCCTGTAGAAGATTAAAAAGATGATTTTAAAAACCTTTAACCCAACATATTTTAAAATTTAGATGAAATCGAAACATTCTTCTAAAAATATTCAATTCACCAAAACTAACAAAAAAATAGAATATCTGAATCTTTCTAAAATTATTAAACATAATCAAACTAAACCCAAAGCTTTCACTTAAAAAATTCATCAATCATTTAAGGAAGAGATTACATGAAACTTACACAAACTCTTCTCGAGAATAAAAAAGAAAGATGATCAAATAATCTTGATAATAAAATTTGATAAAGGCACATAACAAAGGAAAATTACAGGTGATTCTCAGTCATAAGCTTAGATCCAAAAATCCTAAACAAAATATTAGCAACCTGGGTTCAACTAATATATAAAAAGATGATATACCATGATTAAATTGGCTTTATAATTCCAGGAACTCAATGGTTTTGTTTAATATTGAGAAATCAAGCAATTTAATTCACCATGGTAACAGAGTAAAGAGGAAAAATTATCATCTCAATTGATGCTCCCCAAAAACATCGGATAAAATGCATCATGAATTAATAATGGAAAAATACTTTTACCAAACTAGAATAAATGCATCTGATAAATATGTATTCATAAAACAACCTAATTGAGCATTATGTTGAATGATGAAATACTGAAAGCTTCTCTTTGAGATTGAGAACAAGAGAAGAATGCTGCTATTATTATCTCTAATCACTGTTATGTTGAATGAAGATCCTAATCAGTGCAATAATCTAAGAGAAAAGATTAAAGTTGTAGAAATTAGAAAGGAAAAAATAAAACTTATTCACAGATAATATTGTATGCACACAAAATTTGAAATAATCTATAGACAAAGTGTTAGAATTAATAAGCACATAAGAGAGGTTTTGAATATAAGATAAACTATATAGTATATAAACACACACACATATATATATCTCAACAACCAACCACAAAATGTTTAAGTGCCATTTGGAATCACATATGAAGTATACACATGACTTCTACATAGAAAATTATAAATCACTATTGTGAGCAATTAAAAACCTAAACAAATAGAGGGATATAAGCATATTTATACATTGAGTATGTAGGATGTGTCTTAGTCAATTTGGGCTACTATAAGAAATTACCATAGGCTGGGTGTGGTGGCTCATGCCTATAATCCCAGCACTTTGGGAGGCCATGGCAGGTGGATTGTTTGAGCCCAGGAGTTCGAGACCAGTGTGGGCAACATGGTGAAACCCCATCTCTACAAAAAATACAAAAATTAGCTAGGCATGGTGGTGTGCACCTGTGGTCCCAGCTACTCAGGAGGCTGAGGTGAGAGGATCGCTTGAGCCTAGGAGGCAGAGGTTGCAGTAAGCCGTGATCAAACCACTGCACTCCAGCCTGGGTGACAGAGTGAGAGCCTGTCTCCAAAAAAAAGAAAGAAAGAAAAAAATTACCAAAAATGGTTTCTTAGTCTCTTTTGTGTTGCTATAATGGAATACCTGAGGCTGAGTGATTTATTTTTTAAAAAGGCTTATTTGTCTCATTGTTCTACAGGCTGTACAAGAAGCATGGCACCAGCACCTGCATCTGGCGAGAGCCTCAGGCTGTTTCCACTTATGGTGGAAGGTGAAGGGGAGAGGAAGGAAGCAAGAGGGAGAAGGGGAAGGTGCCAGGATTTTTTTTTTTTTTTTTTTTTTTGAGACAGAGTCTCACTCTGTCTCCCAGGCTGGAGTGCGGTGGTGTGATCTCGGCTCACTGCAACTCTGCCTCCCGGGTTCCAGCGATTCTCCTGCCTCAGTCTCCCTCCTGGGCTGGGACTACAGGCGGGTGCCACCACGCCCGGCTAATTTTTGTATTTTTTAGTAGAGACTAGGTTTCACCATATTGGTCAGGCTGGTCTTGAACTCCTGACCTCGTGATCCGCCTGCCTCAGCCTCCTAAACTGCTGGGATTACAGGCGTGAGCCACTGCGCCTGGCAGGTGCCAGGATCTTTTTAACAACCAGCTCTTGTGGGAACTATTAGAGCGAGAACTCACCCAGAAGGAGGGCATTAATCTACTCATGAAGGATCCATCCACATGACCCAAACACCTCCCATTAGGCCCCACCTCCTACATTGGGGATCAAATTTCAACATGATGTTTGGAAGGAACAAATATCCAAATTATATCAGATGGGGAGGCTTAAACAATAAATATTTATTTCTCACAGTTTCTGGAGTCTGGAAGTCCAAGATCAGGGAGGGGACCAGCATAGTCAGGTTCTGGTAAGGACCCTCTTTCAGGGTGCAGACAACTGACTTCTCATATTCTCAGATGGTGAAAGTACGGTGAAAGAGCTATCTGATGTATCTTTTATAAAGGCACTTACCCCATTGATGAGGGCTTCATTCTCATGACCTAATTCCCTCCCAAATCACCTTCTAAAACCATCATATTGGGGATTAGAATTTCAGCATGTGAATTTTGGGGGGCCATAAACATTCAGTCCATTTCAGGATGTTAATTCGCCCCCCAACTAATAAATAGATTCGATGCAGTTGCATATTAAAATCCCAGCAAATATCATTGTAAAACTTGACAAGCTGATTCTAATATCTGAATGTAATTGCAAAGTGTCAAGAGTAGCCAAGATGATCTTGAAGAAGAGAACAAGTTTGTCAGAAATGTGTTCTACCAGATATCATGATTTTTTTGAAACTATATAACTACTATAACAGTGTGAATTTGGTACAAGGATAGACAAATAGAATACAATAAAGACTCCCCAAACAGACCTATATATAACTATACGATCTATTACACAAATGCCACTCTAGAGAAATGCAGAAAAGCTGTTGCAATGAATAGTTCTGGGATAATGGTACATTTATATAAGAAAAAACTTGACCTCTAGCTAATATGTACGTGCAAGTATCAGTTTCCAGGTGCTTTGTAGGTCTACATGTGAAAGCAAAGGAATCAAGTTTTTTAAAGACTGTATTCATGATTTGTGAAAGGAAAATATTTTTAATTAGGACACAAAAAGTTACCAACCATAAAATTGGATAAATTTTACTACATTAAAAGTAAGAACTTCTCTCCTATTAAGGTAAAGACTGGGAGAAGCTATTTGCTACATGGTTCTGATAAAGAACTGTCATCAGAATGTATAAAGAACTCATAAATTAATAAGAAAAGACCCCAACTAATAAAAGAATCAGCAAGAAACTACACAAAAGGAGATAGCCAAATGGCCAATAAATTTTTGGAAAGATACTCAACCTCATTACTGATCAGGGAAGACCATATAAAAATCACAATGAGATTAGCCAGGCACGATGGCGGGTACCTGTAATCCCAGCTACTCGGGAGGCTGAGGCGGAAGAATTGCTTGAATCCAGGAGGCGGAGGTTGCAGTGCGCTGAGATTGTGCCATTGCACTCCAGCCTAGGCGACAGAGACTCCGTCTCCAAAAAAAAAAAAAAAAAAATCACAATGAGATTATTAGTGTGATTTAATACACACCCACTGGAATGGTTGAAATTGAAAGAACCAACAACATCCAGCGTTGGTGAAAATGTGGCACAAGAAAATCCTCTGATGCTGTTGGAGGGAGTGTAAATTGAGACAATGACTTTGGAAAACACTTGGCATTATCCATAAAGCTGAGCAAACACACACCTTATAACCTAGCAAAATTCCACTCACAGGTAAAATGCTCAATGGGAGCAGATGCACTTTGGTGCGGAGATACACATACAACAATTTTTATAACAACCTTATTCATAATAGCCAAAACTAGAAATCTCTCAAATTTCCATCAAAAATAGAATATATTTTTAAAATTATGATATACTCACAGATGAAAATGTTATACAGGAATGAGACAAGTGCAAATAACAAATGGTTGAATCTCACCAACAAGGTTGACACACAAGATAATATGCCATGCAATTCCATTTACAGAAAATTCTGACAGGTAAACTATAATGTGCAGATATGCATACCGAGGTGATAAAACAATACAGAAGAGCAAAAAAGGGACCCGTGAAAGTTAGGATAATGGGTATTTGTGAGGGAGAAGGAGATGTGATTGGGTAGGAGCATGACTGGGTACATAATTGGACAGGCCCAGTGCAAAATGAATATATAAGATTCCTTGTTCATAAATTATTAGGAATTTTAAAACAGTTTCAGTAGAACACTAACCAAGGTGTGAGGTCTGCTAAGCACAGGATCCTGTCTCATGTCCATGAAGCCCTCCTGGCTCAGTACACTCAAAGGACCTCCACCGTGCTGGCGATGTTACAAAAGTCTTTGAAAATAATTCAATAAGCTCTGCTTCATTTTGTGTCTTTTTCTGTATATATATGATAAAGCATGATAAAGAAAGGACATTTTTTAAAGGACCAAAACAAAACAAAATACAGGAGCCATATTTTATTCCAATCCAAGGAGTTTTGGAGGCTAATGCAGATCAAATTATGCGGGGAAAAAAAAGAAGGAAGAAAGGAAGGAATGAAGGAAGGAAGGAGAGAGAGAGAGAAAAAAGAAAGAAAGAGAGGAAGGAGGGAAGGAATGAAGGAAGGAAAGAAAGAAAAAGATCCTAGGGCATTGGAAGGTTGGGGTACTGTCATAGCTCTCATTTATGACTTTAGGCAAGTCGCTTGACCTTTTAGAATCTTGGTTTCTCAATCTGCCAAATGTACATTCACCTCCCTACTTCACAAAGTTATAAGAATCAAATTATATCAGTAGCACTTTAGAAAGAACAAATGTCATACCCTATAAGATAGTGGCACTGGAGAATTCTATATGCTTTAAACTTCATGTTTATATATCCCTATGCTATGTACACCAGATGATTTCAATTTACAGTGGTGTCTCCTGGTTACCTTCTTCATGTTTTGCTTTGGGCTAGGTCAAGGGATGGCAATTGAATTTCCAGGCCCCTTTGCAACCTCATGCGCATTTGAATTCCAGGATTGAAAGGCCAGACCCACATAAATTTGTTACTACGGCCATCTCTCCTGCACACAGAGTCTAAAGTAACATCCTGCTTCCTGCACACAGCACTGACACCACTCATTTCCATCTGGGTGATTGGGAGTCAGCGGGACAGCCTGTGTATTTGAACTAAGAAATCATGCTCATTCTCAGGAAGTGAATAAAAAGAGGGATTCTGGTCCTTTAGGATAAAATCCTGTAGTCCCCTGTACAATTCTTTCTCAGGCCCAAAGTTACATAAGTAATTTTGATCATGTAGTCAGAACCTGTATGGCATTCATTCCACATATTGAAAGTCTTCATTCAGATAGGATGAATTTTTCTGAAAAGCAGAAAAATATAGAGAAGAAGCAGGTAACCCCCAGGTCTGAAAGGACACCTTGAAACAGTCATTTTAAGAGACCTCTATTCAAAACATGAGCAAATCCAGCCACATCTGCACTTCCACCACTGTGTGTGAGTATATCTCCATGTAGAGTTGTTCAGATAGATTGTTGCAGGTGCTGACTTCACAGATCTTTTTTAAGTGCTTTTGCTACCATATTGTCTGTAATACCCTTGGGTATACAGATTGGGTCTTATAGTTTCTTCATATTTCTTCAAAACCTCTAGGGGAGTCCTTTGTGAGCACTAAGAAAATATCCTAGGGAGACTTGAGTGTCAGTGCAGTGAGGGTCTGTGTTTCCTCCCAAATTTATACCCACTTCAGACTATTATTTAGGCTTCTGAAGAGCCTCTCTTGGGAGCCATCCCCATCAGACTTAAAAGCTTCAGCTGTGGCCATAGTTTATATTTTAGAACCATAAAGTGGAAAGAAATGCTTTATGGCCTAATACCTGATATCCAAGGAATTGATTGAAAACTGACTGGAAAATCTGATAGATGTGTTGACACAAAGGGGCACACCGAACTCTGCTTTCATGCTGCAAAGGTGAGCTGCACCACTGGCACAGAAAAAAATAAAATCAGCCTTTGCTGTTTGTTTTTTCAGTCCTCACCTCAATGACTGCTTTCATGGCTTGTCTTTCCACTAGAAGTTCATAGGGGATTCCTGAGGAGAAGAATCAGAATTGTGCTGTAATGGCAGCATGTGTTTGCAAACGCTTCTTACAGACAAAACCTCTGGTCCTCATAGTACACAGGTGGAGAGGCAGAGTGTAGAGTGAGTCTTACTAAGTGGACAGAAGGAGGGAAGAGGCGGGGCACAGTGGCTCACGCCTGTAATCCCAACACTTTGGGAGGCCAAGATGGGCGGATCACCTGAGGTCAGGAGTTCGAGACCAGCCTGGCCGACATGGTGAAACCCTAACTATACAACTAAAAATACAAAAATTAGCCAGGTGTGGTGACAAGCGCCTGTAATCCCAGCTACTCGGGAGGCTGAGGCAGGAGAATCTCCTGAACCCAGGAAGTGGAGTTTGCAGTGAGCTGAGATCGCGCCACTGCACTCCAGCCTGGGTGAGAAGAACAAAACTACGTCTCAAAAAAAAAAGAGAGAGAGAGAGAGATAGAAGATGTCAGGAGATCTGAGTCACAGTATTGCCTTTGTCTCCAACCAGTCACAAGGCTTTCCAGTACTCGTGGACCCCTTGGGCTCGGCTTCTTCATCCTAAAGTATGAAGGACAGTGCTGCCCTGGCTCCCTTACAGTGCGGTTATTTGGCTCCAATAACATTCTGTTTGTAGAAGGACTTTTTAATTTAATAGAATGTTAGGCCAATCTGAGTTTACCTACTCTTCCAGAAGAGAAAATAGATGAAGAGAAGCCATGATTTACTCAAGGTCACATAGCTGCAGTGAAAACATGATGTATTGAGACTTGAACCCTTTCTCCTGCTACGGAACTGGTGTTCTCTAGAGCAGGCTCACATCTTGGGGCAATTGTCCGTGGTTTGATCCACTTGAGGGCAAAATCGTGGCCAAATGTTTTTACAGATTCAGTTGAATGCCTCATCAGTAGTATTCACTGAAGATTAATTAAAGGAGACTGGCACAGTGGCTCATACCCTTAATCCCAGCACTTTGGGAGAGCGAGGCAAGTGGATCGCTTGAGGCCAAGAGTTCGAGACCAGCCTAGCCAACATGGTGAAACCCCCATCTCTACTAAAAATACACAAATTAGCTGGGCGTAGTGGTGTGCACCTGTAATCCCAGCTACTCAGGAGGCTCAGGCAGGAGAATTGCTTGAACCCTGGAGATTGAGGTTGCCGTGAGCTGAGATCACACCATTGCACTCTAGACTGGGTGACAGAGTAAGACTCTGTTGCAGACAAAAAAAGGAGATTTCCAAATGCCATTTACCTTCTGTCAATGGGATGAGATTGGGTTCAGATATTTGCATCTTCACCATCAACAGAATGAATGAAATCAAACTCTTGGCCTCGTCATCTGATTGCCCGACACAGGCTGCATCAACAAGGACAGGAATAAAACTTTAACTGGGATGAAAGTCATAGAGGACTTAGAGAAGGAAGACATTCTGATTTGGTGTATTTCATTTAAATCAGATTCTTCTGCTTTACTGCTTTGCTAATAGGGTTGTTCTGCGAGGATTTTTTTTCACATATCTGGCTGGGACTTGGAGCGGGAAACTTCATTTTGAAGAACTGGAAAAAAAAAATCCTGCCCCCAAGTAAGCCAACTTTGTTTCCTTACAGAGAAATGTGCATGAGACTTTGCCTAGCACTTCTCATAAGCTACTGGTATTTTTTTGGCTTCCATTGAACCATCCCAGTTGCCTATATATAGCCCTGTCTTGTGTAAAGAATTTAAAAAGCATTAGAATGCAGAAATCAAAGAGACAATAAATTTAAAACCAATCTTATTGTCTGCAGCCTAAAGTGTTATTCAGATCAAAGGGGAGGGGACATCTGGCTTCTGGCTTGCTACAAAAGGCAGATCATGTTACCTACCAATTGCTGAATTCATCCACTCTCATTTTTGGTGTCTAGAGAACATGGCTTTTTCAGCTCCCACTTGAGGCATATTGGGTGAATCAGCCAAACCTCCCGACACTCTCAAAAAGAAACAAGCTCTACAGGATCACATAAAAATGTACTGATGAGTTTGTTCCTGTGCCTCTTTGGTCATCTGTGAGTGCTTCAAGAACCCAAAGCCACGGCCATGTTGTCGTCACATGGCCCCGTCCACTGACCCCTCCTGTATAGGCCCATCCCCCAAAGCTAGAACTTTCTGGTTTGCAAAGCTAACTTAGTTGAGGAGACACATCCGTGTTAGATTATTTGACTCTGTTTTTGCCCAAATCACAATGTGAGACTGAGTCACCAAATACGTAGTTGAAAACTTGTGTGCTTCCTTTCTCCCATTTTGGTTATAAAAACATAGATTTGTCTTACCATACATTTTTTTCTAATGGAAGCTTTGAAAGCAAGGTCAATTGTGCTCTTCGACTAGGAATTTGCTTAATGTCTGTATAAATTGTATACATGGCTGGGCACGGTGGCTCACACCTGTAGTCCTGGCCCTTTGGAAGGCCAAGATGGGCGGATCACCTGAGGTCAGGAGTTCGAGACCAAACTGGCCAACATGGTGAAACCCCATCTCTGCTAAAAATACAAAAATTAACTGGGCACCATGGGAGGCACCTGTAATCCCAGCTACTTGGGAGGCTGAGGCAGGAGAATCACTTGAACCTGGGAGGCAGAGTTTGCAGTGAGCCGAGATTGCGCCATTGCACTCCAGCCTGGGTGACAGAGCAAGACTCTGTCTCAAAACAAACAAACGAACAAAAATATAGACATGATTCAATTTAAAGGCCTTTCTTAATATCCACAACCAGAAACAGCGCACATGGCTCTGACTTCATTTGTTATAATGAACAAATCGCAAAAACGCAGGATAGGATTATTTTTTCAGACTGTTTCAGAGACAGCAATCAAAGAAGGAAGCGCCACAATTAACAATATTTTCCAATTACTCAGTACTTCCTCATTACAACGCTCACTAATTCCTCACTCCAAAAAGTCTAGAAAGGAATGCAGACAATGGCAATATGGATTCTGTATTTAGAATATCACATAGAGCTCTTGGCAGCATTCTTTGACTACTGACATGGTTCACTCATTCTCCAATATAGTGGATAAGGTTTCTATTAAAGGGCTTCACAAATTGCTATGCTGCTCAGTCCCACTTGTATATTTCCCTTCCATTGCAATTTCCTTCTACTGATTTTGGTTCTCTACTTGCCTAGGGACCTTCTGGAAACTTACAAAACAAATCAAAATTGTCTCTTTACTTACTACCTCAGCCTTTTCCTCTCCTCACCTATTTTCACCTACCTTAATCTTTCAGGGAAAACTTTCACTGCCAGCCAAAAGTTAAAAAAAGAAAAATCACCAAGAGATTTTGCATCATCCTAGACTGATCGTCTTCTCCAAAAGACATGATTCTCTTCCACAATCTTAATTCATTATTCACTAAGCATACCCTTTATTGCTGATGAAAGACTTTCATTCACAAATACAAGGAATCTCAGGTGAGAGGTAAAAATTAGTGAGGAGATCTTAATTTGATTGCAAGACAGGTTTCAGGGTAGAAGAATATTTTAGAGTCTTCAGTTCCTGGAGGGAGTTGGAATTGAGATTTTTCCATCTAGTATTTCATCACCACTAATGGCTCGTTACTTCTATTTTGAGAATAGTGTCCAGCTTCCCTTGAGTCATGGGTGAGAATTTGGTATGGATGTGGCATTCAATTGTTAACAGTGTGTCTGGAAAGGAGGTGACTAGTTAAAATGTTTAATAAAATACAAAAGAATAGACCAGCAGGGAATAAAATAGCTCTTCCAGTCTTCCTTCCAACAACTGGAACGGCACGTTTTCGGTGTCAAGTATCAGGGCAAGAAATCCAAATAAAATATTCTTTAACACCCACCTCTATTCTGTTCCCTTTTTCCTTGACAAACAGAGCCTCTCTCTGGAGCTCAATGCCACATTCCATAAACTTTTCTGTATGCCTTCCTGCTCTCAAAAAAAAGCCAGAAGTGGGGTTGTACATATCCTCACTACTAACTACTAAAAGAAAAACTTAATGATTTTCTTAATGAGGGTGTTAACATAAAATAACCTGTGGCTCTGAAAAGACTCAAGAATGCCCCCAACCAGGCTCTGCTCATTATATCTGTGTATTTATGGTAGATACAATAGCAAAAATGTTTTGTATTCCTCCATTAGAGAGCCGGGATTTTATTTTGACAGACATATAATTCTTCTCAGATTTCTAAAAAGTGGGCCTTTTTTCTACCCCTGCCCTCTTCCATCCTTCCATAAAGTGTAATCAATAAAGCCAAATTTTGGCAGAAGAGAAAGAAAGTGAAAAGCAGAAATGAATGTCTAATAATTGAAAGCATCATGGACTCCATTATGGTTTATGGCCTTGTTCTAGGGGTCGGATGAGCACACTGTAAAGAATGTGGCACTAAATTTATTAGCATGGTTATCATCTTTCAGACAAGACATAAAGCTGAGGGGACCCACTTCTTCCATCACCTGCCATCACTATAGATCCCATGGCACCTTCTATAAGAAGAGTCGAGTTATCCTGGCCCAGATCCAGATTCAACTATTTGATGACTTATATTTCCTTTGTAGTATGCCTGGGAGACATTATGGGCTCTTCTTCTTTGAAACTCTGTCACTACCATAAGCACAGCCAAAATGGCTCCAGCGAAAGGATGTAAGAGAAAAATTCTCACATCCTAGCATGTGGATCAAGTGAACAGATTGAACAGTGTGGCCTGAAGTACGAAGCTGAGCCATGCCTGGTCTGACCCACTCCACCATGACTGCTCACGTATATCAAAAATCCTAGATTGTGAATGGGCTACATCAATGCTATACAAATTATGGGTTTTCTGAACTCCACGCATTATATCCTTCTCTCAAAAAAGTTTTGAAAAGAAAAGACAGGTAAGTTGTATTTTCTGACTTGCCCTTATTATCTTGAGACTTAATCCCCAAACATTCTCCTAAAGTATTTAAAAGAAAGCAAATCACTCATGAGGCATTAGGCAAATCATTTTATTTATCTAATTTCAGCTTGTTTACCACTAAAATAGGGGTCATTTAAATATCTATCTTGCCTTTCTCTCAAAATTAATGAGAACCAAACAAAATGATGTGTGTCAAAGTACATTTTGTTCTTATTTTAAAGCAATCTACGAAATCAAGTTTTTAACAAGTAACAAAGCAGACAATGCCAGGATTGGAGATGTGGAGAGTGAATGGGAGGAAACGGGAATGAATAGTGCAACAGCTCCTTCTGTGGCACAGAGCATTCATTTCTGTCTACAAAATGGAGCTCCGGATCTGCTGGAAGATAAGTTATCTCTGCTATATGCTAAGGTCCTGCCTCTACAGAACCAGTTTGGGTGCTTGATTGTACAGATGCAGGATAACACTGCATTGTTATCCTGCATCTGTACAATGTACAAAGAGAGTAACATTGTTTTGCTTGAGTTAAGTGACGATTTATGAATTCACTAGATTAAAAGCAATAAACAATAATATCTGAAACTTTCTTTTTTTTTTTTTTTTTTGAAGCTGAGTCTCACTCTGTCGCCCAGGCTGGAGCGCAGTGGCGTGATCTCGGCTCACTGCAAGCTCCGTCTCCCGGGTTCACGCCATTCCCCTGCCTCAGCCTCCCGAGTAGCTGGGACTTCAGGCACCTGCCACCACACCCGGCTAATTTTTTGTATTTTTAGTAGAGATAAGGTTTCACCGTGTTAGCCAGGATGGTCTCGATCTCCTGACCACGTGATCCGCCTGCCTCGGCCTCCCAAAGTCTGGGATTAACAGGTGTGAGCCACCGCGCCCAGCCCTGTCTGAAACTTTCTTAATGACTCAGATGTAGATACTGGTTAGGGCACTTTGGTTGCAAGTGATAGAAACCCAATAGAAGCTAAGCCAAAAATGGAATTTATTGATTCATGTAACTGAGAGTGTAATTAAAAAAAAAGGCCACAGATTTTTGGGTGCTTCTCCATTCAAGAGGTGAAGCCCAAATACCCTCATCTTAGATGTGGGCAAATTTAGTGACTTGCTCTAACAAATAAGATAAAGCAAAAGTAAAGGTTTGTAACTTTGGAGAGTAAGTCATGAAAGGCACTGTGCTGTCATGGCTGTCAATCCTTGCTGTCTCTTGGATTAGTCACTCTAGAGGAAGCCAGTTACTAAGTCGTGAAGAGAGGTTCACATGGTGAGGAACTGAGGAACTTGCTAATACGGTTCCTAAAAATCCTTGCAGAACTGCTAATAGGGTTGTTCTGCAAGGATTGTTTTTCACATATCTGGCTGGGACTTGGAGCGGGAAACTTCATTTTGAAGAACAACTGGGAAAAAAAAAAATCCTGCCCCCAAGTAAGCCAGCTTTGTTTCCTTACAGAGAAATGTGCATGAGGCTTTGCCTAGCACATTTGGCCTCCAACCAACAGCCACGTGAGTACACCACATTGAAAGTGCGTCTCCAGCCCCAGGCAAGCCTTTAGATAATTGCAGCCCCCTACTGACACCTTGCCTACACACTCACCAGAGATTCTGACCCAGAACCACCCAGATTAGTCACTCCTATATCTATATCAGAAATGCATGAGATAATAGATGTTTGTTGTTTTAAGCTACTAAATTTTGGCATAATTTGTTACCAAGCAATATATAAGTACTATAGGATACTTCAAAAGTTGGCTTGACTTCAGACATGGCTCAATCCAAGAAAAAAATTCATCAGGATATCCTCTTCCCTTTACAGCTCTGATTTTCTGTGAATGGAGGCTTCATCCTTCAGATAGTTTCATCCATATACCTGGGAAAGGTGGCTGCCAGCAGATATTGGCCTACAGGCTTATTATATATAACTTGTCATCCTAGAGAAAGAAAAAAATCTTTCTTCCAGCCTCTATATTCAAATCTTAAGGAATATATTATGGGCTTTCTTTGAGCTTCAAGTCCATTTCTAAAACCAATCATGGTGGCCAAATGGAATGAGCATTCTGATTTGCCAAAGTGGTCTCATGTCACCCCGTGTCTTCTGTTCCATAGATTGCCTTTTCATTCAGTTGGTCGTTTGCTGTGCAGAAACATTTTAATTTGAGGTAGTCCCATTTGTCTATTTTTGTTTTTATTACCTGTGCTTTTGTTGTTATGTACATGAAATCATTGCCAAGGGCAATGTCATGAAACTTTCTCTTCTGTTTACTTCTAGGAGTTTTACTGTTTCAAGTCTTACATTTAAATAATCCATTTTGAGTTGATTTTTGGTATAAGATAGGGTCCAATTTTATTCTTTTGCATGTGGATATTCAGTTTTCCCAACACCATTTGTTGAAGAGATTATCATTTCTCCCACTGAGTATGCTTGGCACCATTGCCAAATGTCAGTTGACTGTATATTCACGGATTTGTTGCTGAGCTCTCTATTCTGTTCTATTGGTCTGTGTGTTTGTCTTTATGCTGGTAACATACTGTTTTGATTACTGTACCTTTGCAGGATATTTTGAAATCAGGAAGTATAATGCCTCCAGCTTTGTTCTTCTTTTTCAAGATTGATTTGTTTATTCATTGTCTTTTGTGGCTTCAGATGAATTTTAGAATTATTCTATTTCTGTAAATAAAAATGCCACTGGGATTTTTGATGGGGATTGCATGAATCTATAGATCACTTTGGGTAATATGGGCATTTTAAGAATATTAAGTCTTACAACCCATGAATACATGATGACTAAATCATGAAGAAATACAAAGACTGGACAGACCTATGACTAGCGTAAAGATTGAACAAGTAATCAAAAAACTCCCAGTAAAGAAAATCCCAGGACCAAATAATTTCACTAGTGAATTCAACCAAACATTTAACAAAACTAATGCCAATTATTCTCAAACTCTTCCAAAAAAATCAAAGAAGAGAGAACACTTTCTAACTTATTTTATGAAGCCAGAATTACCTTTATACTAAAGCCGGACAAAGACACCACAAGAAAAGAAAATTACAGCCCAATATCCTTGATGAATATATAGATGCAAAAATCCTCAACAAAATACTGGCAAACCAAATTTAACATTATATTAAAAGGATCAAAGACTATGACAAAGTGGGATTTATTCCTAGGATGCAAGTATGCTTCAAGATATGAAAATTAGTTAATGTGATAATCCATTAACAGAATAAAGGATAAAAATTACATAATCATTTGATGGATGTAAAAAAGGTTTTGACAAAATTTAACACACTTTCATGAGAAAAACATTCAATAAACTAAGAATAGAGGAAAAGTACCTCAACCTAATAAAGGTCATATATATTTTTAAAAACCCATAACTAACATTATACCGAATAATGGAAAACTGAAATGTTTTTCTTTAAGACCAGAAACAAGGCATACATGCCCACTCTCATCACTTCTATTCAATTTAGTGCTGGAAGTCCTAGCTAAAGCAATTAGGCAAGAAAAATAAATAAAAGACGCTCACGTTGAAAACAAAGGGTAAAATTGTTGCTGTTTGCAGATGACATAATCTTATACATAGAAAACCCTAAAGACTCCATCAAAAAACTGTTAGAACTAATAAATTCAGTAAAGTTGGAGGATACAAAATCAACATACAAAAATCAATGGCATTTCTATACCAACGATGAACTATCTTAAACAAAAATTAGGAAAACAATGCTATTTGTAATAGCAGCAAAAAAAAAAAAGACCCTGGAATAAACTAAGAAAGTGAAAGGTCTGCATACTGAAGACTACAGTACTTTGATCTGTTACTGTTCCCCAATATCATAAAAACAAGGCTTAGATACTGTTTACTAAAGGATTTTATTATCTCCTATATTTATAGCTGAAATCACTTTCTCTGTTCTGTTCCCCTTATTTGTCACTAAACAATGTAGCATGAATCTGTTGGAATGAGCTTCCTTGCCTTCCAGACCATTCACTTTAAATATATCAATCCTCACCCCTTAAGTATAGACATTTATTACTACACCACAGTGAACAAAAAACATTAAATGTGGAAAAGGCTTTTAAGTAGATATTTGTTATTTTTGACTCCTTGTATCTCTTTTCCTTACAACTATTTTTTTTCAACTACTTTCCCCCTATCCCATGTGGTGCCATCCAGTCTTCTTATCACCATGCTTTTCATCTCCTGTTTCCTTTCTAGGCACAGGGGTAACATGAGACCACACTGGCAAATCAGAATGCTCATTCCGTTTGGCCACCATGATTGATTTTAGAAATGAACTTGAAACTCAAGCTAAGTCCATAAGAATTTTCCTTAAGATTTGAATATGGAGGCTGGGAGAAAGATATTTTTCTTTCTCTAGGATGACAACTTATAATATGCCTGTAGGCTTTGGGATCACTTTTTTATGACCTTTGGGCTTCTTGGATCAGAATGTTCATTTTCTTCCTCATATTTGGGAAGTGTTCAGCCATTATTTCTTTGAATACGTTCTCAGTTCTTTTCTCTCTTTTATTCTGTGATGCCAATAATGAGTATATTGTTCAGCTTGATGTTGCCCATAAGACCCTTGGGCTTTTTTTCACTCTTTTTCATTTTAATTTCTCCTCTAACTGAATTATTTCCAATGACCTGTCTTCAAGTTCATTGATTCTTTCTTCTGATTAATCTTGTCTCCTGTTGATGTCCTGTCATAAATTTTTTCAGTTCAGTTGTTGTGTTCTTCAGTTCCATTTCTTTTTGGTACTTTTAAATATACTCTATCTCTTTGTCAAAATTCTTAACTTTTTTCATGCATTGTTCTCTTGACTCTGGTGAGAATCTTTATGAGAGCTATTCTGAATTCTCTGTCAGGTAAATCACATAAGTTTATTTCATTAGCTCAGTTTCCAGAGATTTATCTTGTTCTTTGGTTTGGAACATCTTCGTATGATTATTCATTTTCCTTGACTCTTTGTGTTGGTGTCTGCACATTAGACAAAGCAGTCACCTGTCCCAGTCCTCACAGCTGGGCCTCAGAGGAGAAGACCCCCACCAATAAGTCTGCCCAGTGATTTGGGGGCCTTTAACAAATCATTCCTTCTCCAGGGAAATGTAGGTAGCCATGATTTTTGTCCTGTCTGTGCTGAGCCAGGAGGTGAGGCAGTAGAGGGCAGGGTGCCATGTCATCTACTGGTCTAAACCTCTGTCTCTGTCCTTCCCCAGGTAGCTAGATAGTACCAATTCTGTCAGAGCTCCAAGACTGACAAGATAGAAGCCAGTCCTCTGGGAATCTCCTCAGAAAAGTTGGAGGTCTTGGATATGTGAACCAACTCCTCTCACCTGGGAGAAACTGAGTGCTAGGGAGTCTCTTGCTGACTACATGGCACTGTGCTGGGGTTAGGGATTCGGACAAGGTGGTATCTCAAATCTCTCTACCAGCTTTGGTGAGTCTGGTTTTTGCATTTGCTGGGAGTGCAGGAGCCTTTTAGTTTCTGGATTCCTCACAAAGGAATTTAGCCATGAATTTTTGCAGAATAGATGTGTTTGTGGATTGAAGAAGGGTCCAGCATTTGCTAATACAACATCTTGCTGATGTCACCTGCCCCATTATCCAATTATTTTAAACTTCTGCTCAGTAAACTTGTTGGTGCCAGAGGAAGAAGCAAACATTTATAATCCCCTAGGTGGTAATCACTATCAGGATTATAGAAAAAGGTTTAGGGCTGCTGCCTTAATTCAGGCCTTATCTTTTCTCATTTAAACTGTTTGCAACCAGACTAAGGTGTTGAGTTTAGGAATGCACACTTCAGTGATGAAACTATAAATATAAACAAGGAGGTAATTGCTTTAAGCTTTAGGAGAATTATAACTGTAGTGGTACAGAAAAAGATTAAAATTGAGGTGGGGTATAAGGAGAGTTTCTGTGAAGCATGGAAAAATTTCTTCCCCTAATGGTAATTACAGGGGTATTTGCCTTACAACAATTCTTTCAGGGTAGCAGTTCTTTTGTAAATTCCTTAGGATTTCTACATACAATATTATGTCATCTGAAAATTGAAATTATTTTATTTCTTTTCTAATCTGGATGACTTCTTTTTCCTTTTTTTGCCTAATTGCCCTAGCTAGAACCTCCAGAACAATATTGAATAAAAATAGTGACAGCAGATATCCTGTTAGTTCCTGTATGGGGAAAGCTTTCAGTATTTTTGTTGTTTGTTTTGTTTTTGAGACAGAGACTTACTCTGTCATGTAGGCTGGAGTGCAGTGGTACAATCTTCTGGGCTCAAGTGATCCTCATGCCTCAGCCTCCTAAGTAGCTGGGACAACAGGTGCATGTTACCACACCTGGCTAATTCCTTTTTAAATTTTTAGTAGAGACAAGGTCTCACTATATCGTCCAGGCTGGTCTCAAACTCCTGTGCTCAAGTGATCCTTCTGCCTCAACTTCCCAAAGTGCTGGGATTATGGGCATGAACCACCATGCCCAGCCTGGTGTATGTTATGAAACCAGGAAGTGTGAGTTCTCCAACTTTTTAAAATCTTTTTTAAGATTATTTTGGCTATTGTGGATCCCTTTCAATTTCTTATGAATTTTAGGATTAACTTGTCAATTTCTTAAGCCACCTGGGATTTTGATAAGAATTGTATTGAATCTGTAGAGCAATGTTAATTTTTTTCATCCATGAACACAGGTTTTATTTCCATCTATTTTGATGATTTTAAATTTTTTAACAATGTTTTATTGTTTTCAATGTACCAGTCTTGCACTTCCTGTTACATTTTTTCTATGTATTTTATTCTTTTTGATACTATTCAAAGGGTGCTATTTTCTTAATTTTATTTTCAGATTTTTCATTACAAGTGTGTAGAATACAATTTATATCTGTATGTTGATCTTGTATCCTGCAACCTTGCTGAAATCATGTATTAGCTCTAATAGTTCTTTTGTAAATTCCTTAGGATTTCTACATACAATATTATGTCATCTTAAAATTGAAATCATTTTATTTCTTTTCCAATCTGGATGACTTTTTTCTTTTCTTTTTTTTGTTTGTTTTTTTTTTTGTTTTTTTTTTGTTGTTGTTTTTTTTTTTTTTTTTTTTTTTTGCCTAATTACCCTAGGTAGAACCTCCAGTATAATATTGAATAAAAATAGTGACAGCAGATATCCTGTTAGTTCCTCTTGGGGGAAAGCTTTCAGTCTTTCACCTTTAAGTATGATGTTAGCTGTGGGTTTTTCTTTTCTTTTTTTTTTTTTTTTTGAGACAGAGTTTTGTTCTTGTTGCCCAGGCTGGAGTACAATGGCGTGATCTCGGCTCACCAGAACCTCCACCTCCTGGGTTCAACCGATTCTCCTGCCTCAGCCTCCCAAGCAGCTGGGATTACAGGCATTTGCCACCACGCCGGGCTAATTTTTTGTATTTTTAGTAGATACAGGGTTTCTCCATGTTGGTCAGGTTGGTCTCGAACTCCTGACCTCAGGTGATCCGCCTGGCTCAGCCTCCCAAAGTGCTGGGATTACAGGCTTGAGCCACCATACCCGGCCAGCTGTGGGTTTTTCATAGATGCCATGTGTGAGGTTGAAGAAGTTCCCTTCTCTTCCTAGTGTGTTGAGTGATTTTATTACAAAGGGGTGTTGAATTTTGCCAAATGATTTTTCTGCGTGTATCGAGATGATTGTGTGGTTTCTGTCTTTATTCTATTAATATGATGCATTACACTGATGGTTAAATCAATCTTGCATTCCTGGGGCAAATCCCACTTGGTCAAGGTATATAATCCTTTCCATATGTTGTTGGACCCAGTTATCTAGCATTTTGTTGAATTTTTTTGCATTTACACTTAAAAGAGATATTGGTCTATGGTTTTATTTTTGATGTATTTGTCAGAATTTGGTATCAAGGTAATACTAGTTATAGAAAATAAGGTGGAAAGTGTTTCCTCCTCTTCCATTTCTGGAAGAGTTTGTGAAGAATTTGTACCAATTCTTCTTTAAATATTTGCTAACATTAATCAGTTAAGACATCCTAAATTGGGCTTTTCTTTCTGGGAAGTTATTTGATTGCTTATTTAATCTCTTTACTTGTGATAGCTCTATTCAGATTTTTATTTTTTCTTGAATCAGTTTCAGTAGTTTGTTTATTTATAGGTGTGGTGGACATCTGCATAAACAAGATGAAATGTCACCAAAATTTGGTTTAGATGCTGAGACTGATGATGTTACACACACCCCAAGAGAGTATGAAACATTTATTACTCACATGAGGCTTTTTGTGGAGAGCAGCTCACGTCTCCTAACCTGGTCTGAAAATGACTTGAGAGAGCCAGGAAAGGAGACTGGTTTGGGCTTTTTATGATGTTTAGAAAGTATGACTTGGATGAGGATTCCCACATGCAGGCAGGGCCATGCATGGTTTGATCGTACTGTCATTTCCCCAGGGTTTGTTGTTGTTTCTTTGTTTAATGACTTTTCTGAACTAATTCTGTAAAGTCTGTATTTTTTGTTGTGTGTGGACACTGAAGTCTCTGCTTGGTTAGTAGTCATCTAATAGTTGTACACGGATTTCCTCAAACACTTGGAATCAATAATTCAACCAGTCTCTGCCAAGGAGCTCTGTGTGAATGCTGAGGCACACTCAACACTCCGCCATGCAATTGACAACTCTGCATTCCCTTTACTTATGGCTTGTGCAGAGCCTCAAGATCAGCTTGAAGTGAGAGCTTAAGGCTTTCTTGGGTTTTTCCTGAGCATCTGCACAGTCCTGGGCATGGATGGAGTCCTATTTATGCATTTGGCAGTCTAGATTGCCAATAACACTTTGGAGCTTTTCAAAGTCCCTATGAAAATCTCTTTTTCCAGCTTCTCCTTTTAGGCTTTTTATTTAGCCAATTGCTTTCCCCAACTGTTATACATTACCCCAGGCAGCCACAAAGAGAATCAATTGCCTCTAGTTGTTTTGACAAAGTTTTTTACCCTGGGAAGCTTCCAGTCAGGTCAAATATAGCCTTGCAAGTGGAGCTTCCAGGGCCTGCCAAACAGGTCAAATAGTGACAATTGTCTAGGAATGGGACTTTGAAAGAACTCCAACTCCATTCTGTCACCTTCAGTGGCTGCCAGACTGCTGATTTTCATGGTAATTGCAGGCTGTTGGTTTCAAAGCTATTGTGGAGCTGGAGAGGGGGAGATGAGAGTAGTGCAAGTTACAATATCACAGTGCTCACAGAGATTTAGTCTTTTTCTTGAATAAATGCTCTGCAAATTGCTATACATCTTCAGTTAATTTCCAGAGCTATAAGAAGTTGAATCTATTTTTGTCACATTCTCATTAGTTTTATGGAGGAGAGACTCTTTGGGGGACCAGGGAATCTCAAGCATTGTTGCTGACATCCTCCCACATTCTTCTTTTTTTTTTTTTTCTTAAGCTTGAAATGCTCTTCCGTGTCAAGTCCCACTCACACCTTTCAGGCCTTGTATTTTTCTAATGGGTGTGGCTTTTCTGAGAACACTTTCTCCTTGGTACTTGCTTCCATTCTCCCCCTCCAAGTCCAAGAAGGCCATGACAAAAAGAGAGGTGGCCAAGAGGCTTTGACTGAATGCTTCAGATCTTGGGTTCCTGATGATGCAGCTATAATCTCAGGGTGGCCTTAATCGCTAGATGTGAACAATCTAGTTAGATCTATTTTTAGAGTGCTGTGTTATGTTCTTAAAAGAACAAACCGATAAAAGTTGCTCACAGTTTTGCATAATGTTTAAGGACCCAGTGCCACAGTAAGACCATATAAGTTCACTGCTTTCTAGCAGTGATAATGGTACCTACCTCACTGAGCTACCGTGAAGATTGAGTGAGAAACAATTCAAAGAAAATCCTTAGCACAGTGTCTGGTGTAACCATCCCATACATAGCTGCTGGGATTTTCATTATCATCAGAGCACCCATACCTAATAGAAATCTTGTATTATATATCTAAGTAGAAAGGGACCTCAGAAATTGACAAGTTCACAATTGCACACCAAGGGCAGTGACTTACTCTACTTCACATCCCTATTAAATGATATCTAGCCTGTGGTTTAATATTTCCAAGGACAGGAGTTCACTATCTTTTAAAGGTACCTCATGGTATTGCCAATCACTCTTATCACTAGGAAGCTTTTCCTTCTACTGAGCCCCAAATCTTTCTCCTGCTTTTCCCCTGGAACACCCTGAAATGAAGTTATTATCATTTCTGTGTGATGGTCCTTCCATCTCAGGGCCTCCCTTATAACACTCTATAGTTCTTCTTTCTAGTTGTGCTCTAGGGAAGAGGCTGGTACTTCCGATTGCAGACCAGCTCTCCCTTGCCACAACCTGAAGTGTCCTACGGAAATCAAGCAGGGTCTGAAAGGCCTAGGCAAAAGGAATAAATTCCACCAAAGATCACAGGCTATCCAATTCTCTTTTCTACCTCCCTTCCCATGATAAGTGCATCCCTGCTCCACCTCTGCCCTAGGAACACTACCAAACACAAACGCACGCTCACACACACAGAAAGAATAGGTTTAATTTATTAGTTGCTCTTTAGCAAAGGCTATATAGAACATTATTGGGGTGAAAATTAAATTCTAGTTACAGATTCATGAAACTTGAAGCCAAATTAGTTTTATGAGACTATCAACTCCCCTTTCATCCTCCTACACAGCAAGGTACCTCATAGTCTATATAATTCTTTGCCGTTTTTAAATGATTTAAGCAGACATAATACATAATGCAGTTGATATTAAATATCTTGAGGAATGTCAATAGAACTACTTTCACTCTTAGGCATTAACTGATCACTTATAAATGTTCTGTTTATCCACTTTTCATTTTAGATTTTCTCCTTAAAAGGACTTTATGTGTGAACTAGTCATCATTATCTGCTATTCGTTTGTATACATGCATCGTAAGTCTTCCAAAATAACATTTAAAGTCTTTCTTAATATTGCTTTAGAAATGTTAACCTTTAAGGAACATTCAATTTAAAAAATAAAGATTCAGGCACTGACTCAGGAAGACATGTTCAGCTGGGTCAAGATTTTGTTTCCCCTGACCAGATAAAAGACTCTAACAACATACGGTGTGTCAGCTTCTTCTTTGCCCAACTCAGAGAAAGTCATATAAAGGAGAAAAAGAAAACATGCTTGAAATCACAGTGACCAAAGGATTTGAAGTAATAATTACATTAAATAACCATAACTTTTCATTTAACTATTCACATTCCACACAGTGGAAATTATCCTCTCCTCCAGATTTTTCACTTACACTCTTAACTTTGAAGACCTACAGTAACAAAAAACAACTTACAGACTTCCAGGATGTGTGTTTTTTTCTTTTAATGCCAAGCACAAAGTGTACATCATAAAATTCATATTTGGTGTTTGGCATTATTTTAATAGGTATGATCAAGACCACAAATATCTTGCCATAAAAATATTCTACTATAATAATGAAAAAATATATCATTACATCATCAGTGACTCGAATAAAATATGGTATAGATATGGCATTTTCAATGAAAGTTGGAAGACACACCACATTTGTACTAGTCTTAATATAGGCACAGTAAGAAGAACAGATATTTCCCTCTTTGGCTAGTGATATGCTTTTAGGGTAGTTACGCTGCTGATTATCCCAGTGAAGTTAGTGTTGAGGAAATTCTCTTTACTTGAGCCAAATCTGCACTTATGTGCAAGACTGTGGTACAAGCTCCTAAAAGAAGATTACTGCTGCCAACTTAAGTCATCTCCGTTAACGAAATTGCATTCTTGTGGCAGAGTTAAAACAACAAGAGAAATTCAGTGTTTGCTGGTTCTGAATGTCATTTTTCCTCCCTGGTGTGGTTTTACATTTTCAGCTTCTTTCCCTTTTCTTCTCTCCCACCCTCAAAATTCTGCCTTAGCATTTGTGTGCTTAATTAAATCCACTCTGTGCTTTATTGTTGGAGAATGTGGACAATACAAAGATTTGGGGTGGGGTCATACAGTGTATACAAAACACACACACTATGTGTTTGGACAAATTCGCCTAGCGTGAGAATCATCAGTAGTGAGTTTAAAAGTTTGAAAATCAGACCCAACATTTTGGGTGTTTAAAATATCTCCCGCCTTGAAATGGCTCCTGTTTAGTTGTTAGATGGGAGAGCACTGGATCAAAACAAAAACGAAATAAAAACAGCTTCTCGAGTTGCAAGGGTTCTCTGAATGCCAGAGCCTTGATCGGCAACTGAATCTCAAGTCTGCAGTGTTTGTTTTCCATATTACATAGGACTTGGCTAGGAGGCTGAGAAGATACAAGGCAAAAAGAGTATTCAGGGAGTTTGTATATAAAACCTCAGGCTTGAAGAAAACAGGTTAACCAAATCCAAAGTACAATAAAGTTCACCCACCCTGCACTTTGGCCCTTAGATCAATCCTAAGTAGCCATTGCCAGTAGGCCAAGTTTAATCAGAGGACAGTGCCTACCAGTAAATACTGAATAGTTACAATAGTTATGTCCATCCAACCAGTAGCAGATGAACAGCTAATACATCATGATGCTATGCTCTCCTAACAGGGTCCCCTCAGATCCTCAGTGAGCACATAAAGAAAGGGAGGTCATATCCCTTACATCTCTACCAGGTATTAACACCTAACTACTCTCTAGCCAGAGGCAATTCCCTTTATTTCCTTACTCTCGTCGTCTTCTCTTTAGCCCAATCTCCTGACAATAGTTAAAACAAAAAGACCCCCAAAATATCTCTTGCTAAAACAGAGTAGTCCCTAAACTCTCTCATCTTAGACTACTGTCAGGTACACTCAGCAGAGGCAGGATCTTTATCAATCAAGTTAGTGGCTCTCAGAAGCATTATGGGAAATAGTGGAATGGAAATGAGCTGACTATAACCACGATAAAGGAAAGGTATTAGGAATTTCAGCCTCTGCGGTTTTTGATTAATTCCCACCCCTATGCAGAGAGTTCTAAACTACCTCTCTTTTCCACCTGAGGGACAAAGCAGAGGAGTTGGTTTGGTTTAGCTAACTTGCTTGGGTCCGAACATAGGAGTGGTCAGTATTTATGTTTTCAGTTTGGTGTTAGGTTTGAGCAGATTGCAACGGCCAAAGTTAATCACTTTCTGGCAATCTCATTTCTCCTCTGTTCACTTGGGTTCTGTTAAATACTAGGAAAAGACTTTCTCAGAAGCATCAGCCTGTGTTCTGGTATTGGCCTTTCAAGCTTCTGCAATGTCCCTACTGACTTTTGCTGGACCTGATTTGGCCTCACCCTCCACCCTCCCTTTCTCACTCCACTATCCTGCTTGTCCTTGCCCACACCAGCCTCTCCCAGAGTCTGGAGGGTCTTCACAAAATGAAAAACATTTGCATCATGGTTAAGTGAATTAATTTAGGAACCTTGGCAAACAAGAGATTAGACTGACATAGTCACTATCAACTTAAGAAGAGATGGATTGTGAGGAGGAGGAGGAAAGGAGGATGCAAGCACAGGTTAAAAGGACTTTTCCATGTCGAATGCAGCACTAAAACAGGTCTCTTGCCCTCAGAGGAGCCTCTTCCATGAACATTCATTCCGAAAGGAGATTCTGGTCCCCAGGAGGGCACAAAAACACAAAGTCAGAACCAGACCACGGCCCCGCCCCTTTAGATGTGAGCCGGGGTGAGGTGGGTTTCTGGTACATCCCCATTAAAGCAGATATGTTTACAAAATAGGGAGTGCTCTCTAGCAGAGACTGTGTTTTCTCTGGTGTCTAAAAACACCCACAGGCACCCATCCACACTCATGCACACGAACTACGCACAAGCAGGCTCCTGCCAGGAGGCAGCTGGGGGTTCTTCTGGCCTCTAGGTTTAAGCCAAGTAAGAATCTGGTTGTTTTAGGTCTGGGACTTCCTGGGGCTGCATTCCTAGGACATGCTGGGTGCACCTGGATTTGGCTTAATCCAAATCGATGGATATGCAACGACACTGCTTCACACGTGTGACTCTCTTCTTCTTGGTAGGTGGCTGTAGTTCAGGGCAGTTGAGTGTGACCATCATGGTAGTGAATTTCTTGGGCTTGCAGAAGGAGCAGGACTGAAAGGAACCTTCCTCCTTCCGGATGTGCCTGGGGATGTAGAAAGAGTTGCACTGGCCGTAACAGAAGCGGTTGATGATGGTGCGACTGTTGCAGCCTTCCTCGTGGATGGTCTGCTTAAGCGGCTGGGTTTTGCACCAGTCTCGCTTCAGGTATTTGCGCTCCGTCACATGCAGGGCCTCTTGGCTGGACTCCAGCACCTCCTCCCCGGGCATGGCAGTGCCCCGCCCTTGGCCCCGCCCCCGGTTCCTGGAGCCAGGCTGCTGGGGCGACTGAGTCTGCTCTGAGTCATTGTGCTGGGCCTTGTCTGGCGGGGGGATGGCACCTTGGGACCCTTTCTTTTTCCCTTCAGCAGCCGGCAGCAGGGTCCCCAAGAGGAGAAGCAGGGCTCCCACCGTGTAGGCTGTGCGGCTCATACTAAAGAAAGGAAGCACAGAGAGGGGAAGACACAAAACATGGCAAAGTTAATTTAAAAATTAATAATAATAGCACCTAGCATTTAAACGCACCGTTAAACACTTAACGTGAAATATTCCATTTACTTCTCACAGTACCTGTATGAATTAGGTACTATTATCTCCATGACCCAGCCATCAATCCATGGAGTAACTCACCCAGAGTCCCACAGTGACTAAGTCAAGGTTTAAACTCAGCCAGGGCCTAGCTCTTCTCTGCACCTATTCTCACAAGAACTTCTTCCTGGCCTCTGGCACCAACCACATTTGTCTTTGTATTACGTTCACTTATTGAGGGGAACTTATTTTCTATTTTGTTTTACAGCAAGATGAATTAACCTCTCTGCTCAGAGGACTTCATTCCTCCGGAAACCTCCCAGTCTTTTCTCCCCAACTAGCCTGAGGCTTCCTGAGCTGTGAATGCTTATGAGACTTTGCATTTTTATCATATGTGGAAGGAGAGATTCATGGAGACCAGAAGGCATTTGACAGAGGGAAAACAACAAAACAGGAAAGGTCGCGCTCCTGGTGCAGTAACTTGCTATCTGATCTTAAAGATGTCACTTTGTCTCTCAGTAAATCACTCCATTTAAGCAAAGATACCAATACTTCGTCTCCCCAGGTACGCTGTTCAGATCCAACTCGATGTCAATGTGACAGCAATTGGAGAACTAACCAAATGTGTGGCAGTACTGCAGATGGAATGAAAGACAGTAGCGTGTAGGTGACGTGACTCATGAGGCTTCACCTCTCACTTATTCTCATCTTGAAACTGGGCACAGATACTCAATGTATCACTTTGTACCACGATATACATTTTTCTACCTTTTAAATAGTGAAATATGTCATTCACATGTGTCTGTGTATATACAATTTAAAAGGTAGAAAAATGGGCATGATAGAACAAGTATGTGCAAATATTTACATTAATAAATGGCATGGGCATGCTGAATAAATTAGTGGCAATGGATTAGTGGATGGGTCAGAAGCTAGATATGGGTCTGAAAGGGCAGTGATATGTGAACAATGGCAAAAAATAACAAGGAGGTGAGGTGAGGGAAAACCGACAAAAAATAGGAAACCATAGACAGAGAGAGAAAAGAATGAATGAAGTGAAGAATGCAATTCAGAGAAAGGGGAACTCTTCTACAAGTTGAATGTTCAGGGGAGGTAGTAAAGGCAGACAGAAAAGGCGGAAGAAGAGGGAAAGGTGGAGAAGGAGCAGCATATTTTTAAAAAGGAGAGTGCAAGAGAGAAGCCTCAGACTAAAAAGATTTTCCTCCTGGGACAGTGCTTCTTAGACTTGAAAGTGCAGACAATTGGCCGGGCGCAGTGGCTCACGCCTGTAATCCCAGCACTTTGGGAGGCCCAGATGGGCGGCGGATCACGAGGTCAGGAGATCGAGACCATCCTGGCTAACACGGTGAAACCCCATCTCTACTAAAAATACAAAAAAATTAGCCGGGCGTAGTGGCGGGCGCCTGTAGTGCCAGCTACTCGGGAGTCTAAGGCAGGAGAATGGCGTGAACCCGGGAGTCAGAGCTTGCAGTGAGCCGAGATCGCGCCACTGCACTCCAGCCTGGGTGACTGAGCGAGACTCTGTCTCAAAAAAAAGAAGAAAGAAAGAAAGAAAAAAAAAAAGAAAGTGCAGACAATATCTGGGGATATTGTTAAGATGCAGATTATGATTCAGCAGGTCTGCCTTTTTATTAAGCTTTGAGTAGCAAGGCCTATAAGCACTTGCTGCCATGGGGCACGGAGAGAATTATTAAAGTGTGGAGGGATTTTCTTTTCAATGGATGCAGTTTCAAATTCACAGTCTCCCTCCTGCGGCCATCACAACAATCGGACCTGAATCCTGAAGGTTCTCCTGTCCCACTCCTGTGGTTTTCTGAACCTAAGAACACAGCTGTGTAGCAAACATTTTCCTTCTCTCTTTGGAATACCAGTATTACACATAATAACCACTAAGTGCAACTTAACAGTAACATTATTTCTCCCACCAAAACTGGACAGGTTGGTATTATTAGAGCAACTACCTTGCGCAAAGGCAGTGTAGGATCTAGATTTTCTAATGAACAGCACATGGTAAGTAAACACCATTCAACTCTAGGATAATGTCAAATTAAAATAATTAAATATTGAATTTAAGATATCTTTAAATGGCACCATCTTTCCAACATTAACCTAGTACTTTTAGACCATTATAAGTTCGGAGCTGATAATGTGACATTCAGCTTCTGCTCCAACTGTAGGTTTCCCACCTTTGGTCAGTGTATGTTACAACATCCCTGCTCTTTATGCAGAGCTTTTGTTTTACCCCAACAACAAAAAAATTACTTTACTTTGTCTTTTAAAAAAAAGCACTTATACTATACCATGCTGTTTTTGTTACTGTAGCCTTGTAGTATAGTTTGAAGTCAGGTAGCATGATGCTTCCAGCTTTTTTCTTTTTGCTTAGGATCGTCTTGGCTATACCGGCTCTTTTTTCAGTTCCATATGAAATTTAAAGTAGTTTTTTTCTAATTCTGTGAAGGAAGTCAGTGGTAGCTTGATGGGGATGGCATTGAATCTATAAATTGTTTTGGGCAGTATGGCCATTTTCATAATATTGATTCTTCCTATCCATGAGCATGGAATGTTTTTCCATTTGTTTGTGTCCTCTCTTATTACCTTGAGCAGTGGTCTGTAGTTCTCCTTGAAGAGGTCCTTCACATCCCTTGTAAGTTGGATTCCTAGGTATTTTATTCTTTGTAGCACTTGTGAATGGGAGTTCACTCATGATTTGGCTGTTTGTCTATTATTGGTGTATAGGAATGCTTGTGATTTTTGCACATTGATTTTGTATCCTGAGACTTTGCTGAAGTTGCTTATCAGCTTAAGGAGATTTTGGGCTGAGATGATGGGGTTTTCTAAATATACAATCATGTCATCTGCAAACAGAGACAATTTGACTTCCTCTCTTCCTATTTGAATACCCTTTATTTATTTGTCTTGCCTGCTTGCCCTGGCCAGAACTTCCAATAGTATGTTGAATAGGAGTGGTGAGAGAAGTCATCCTTGTGGCGGTTTTCAAAGGGAATGCTTCCAGCTTTTGCCCATTCAGTATGATACTGGCTGTGGGTTTGTCATAAATAACTCTTATTATTTTGAGATATGTTTCATCAATACCTAGTTTATTGAGAGTTCTTAGCATTGAAGGGGTGTTGAATTTTATCGAAGGCCTTTTCTGCATCTATTGAGATAATCATGTGGTTTTTGTCATTGGTTCTGTGTATGTGATTGATTACGTTTATTGATTTGCGTATGTTGAACCAGCCTTGCATCCCAGGGATGAAGCCAACTTGATCATGGCAGGTAAGCTTTTTGATGTGCTGCCAGTATTTTATTGAGGATTTTCACATCAATGTTCATCAGGGATATTGGCCTGAATTTCCTTTATGTTGTGTCTCTGCCAGGTTTTGGTATCAGGATGATGCTGGCCTCATAAAATGAGTTAGGGAGGAGTCCTTCTTTTTCTATTGTTTGGAATAGTTTCAGAAGGAATGGTACTAGCTCCTCTTTGTACCTCTGGTAGACTTCGGCTGTGAATCTGTCTGGTCCTGGGCTTTTTTTGGTTGGTAGGCTACTAATTACTGCCTCAATTTCAGAACTTGCTATTGGTCTATTCAGGGATTCAACTTCTTCCTGGTTTAGTCTTGGGAGGGTGTATGCGTTCAGGAATGTATCCATTTCTTCCCAATTTTCTAGTTTATTTGCGTAGAGGTGTTTATAGTATTCTCTGATGGTAGTTTGTATTTCTGTGGGATCAGTGGTGATATCCCCTTTATCACTTTTTATTGTGTCTATTGTCTATTTGATTCTTCTCTCTTTTCTCCTTTATTAGTTTGGCTAGCAGTCTATTTCATTAATCTTTTCAAAAAAAAAAAAACAGCTCCTGGATTCATTGATTTTTTGAAGGGTTTTTTGTGTCTCTATCTCCTTCAGTTCTGCTCTGATCTTAGTTATTTCTTGTCTTCTGCTAGCTTTTGAATTTGTTTGCTCTTGTTTCTCTAGTTCTTTTAATTGTGATATTAGGGTGTCGATTTTAGATCTGTCCCGCTTTCTCCTGTGGGCATTTAGTGCTATCAATTTCCCTCTAAACACTGCTTTAGCTGTGTCCCAGAGATTCTGGTATATTGTGTCTTTGTTCTCATTTCTTTCAAAGAACCTATTTATTTCTGCCTTAATTTTGTTATTTACCCAGTAGTCATTCAGGAGCAGGTTGTTCAGTTTCCATGCAGTTGTGTGGTTTTCAGTAAGTTTCTTAATCCTGAGTTCTAATTTGATTGCACTGGGGTCTGACAGACTGTTAGGATTTCTGTTTTTTGCATTTGCTGAGGAGTGTTTTACTTCTAATTATGTGGTCATTTTAGAATAAGTGTGATGCGATACTGAGAAGAATGTATATTCTGTTGATTTGGGGTGGAGAGTTCTATAGATGTCTATGAAAAAACTACTTTAAATTTCATATAGAACCAAAAAAGAGCCCATATAGCCAAGACAATCCTAAGCAAAAAGAACAAAGCATCACGCTACCTGACTTCAAACTGTACTACAAGGCTACAGTAACCAAAACAGCACGGTACTGGTATCAAAGCAGATATACAGACCAATGGAACAGAACAGAGGCCTCAGAAATAACACCACACATCTACAACCGTCTGATCTTTGACAAACCTGACAAAAACAAGCAATGGGGAAAGGATTCCCTATTTAATAAATAACGTTGGGAAAACTGGCTAGCCATACGCAGAAAACTGAAACTGGACCCTTTCCTTACACCTTATACAAAAATTAATTCAAGATGGATTAAAGACTTAAATGTAAGACCTAAAACCATAAAAATCCTAGAAGAAAACCAGGGCAATACAATTCAGGACATAGGCATGGGCAAAGACTTCATGACTAAAACACCAAAAGCAATGGCAACAAAAGCCAAAACTGACAAATTGGATCTAATTAAACTAAACAGCTTCTGCATGGCAAAAGAAACTACCATCAGAGTGAACAGGCAACCTACAGAATGGGAGAAAATTTTTGCAGTCTATCCATCTGACAAAGGGCTAATATCCAGAATCTACCAGGAACTCAAACAAATTTACAAGAAAAAAGCAAACAACCCCATCAAAAAGTGGGCAAAGGATATGAACAGACATTTCTCAAAAGAAGACATTTATGGGGCCAGCAAACATATGAGAAAAAGCTCATCATCGGTGGTCATTAGAGAAATGCAAATCAAAACCACAATGAGATACCATTTCACGCCAGTTAGAATGGCCGTCATTAAAGAGTCAGGAAACAACAGATGTTGGAGAGGATGTGGAGAAATAGGAATGCTTTTACACTGTTGGTGGGAGTGTAAATTAGTTCAACCGTTGTGGAAGACAGTGTGGCAATTCCTCAAGGATCTAGAACCAGAAATACCATTTGACCCAGGAATCCTATTACTGGGTATAGACCTAAAGGATTATAAATCATTCTAATATAAAGACACATATACACATGTTTATCGCAGTACTAGTCATAATAGCAAAGACTTGGAGCCAACCCAAGTGCTCATCAATGATAGACTGGATAAAGCAAATGTGGCACATATACACCATGGAATACTATGCAGCCATAAAAAGGATGAGTTCATGTCCTTTGCAGGGACGTGGATGAAGCCAAAAACCATCATTCTCAGCAAACTAACACAGGAACAGAAAACCAAACACCGCATGCTCTCACTCATAAGTGGGAGTTGAACAATGAGAACACATGGACACAGGGAGGGGAACATCAAACACTGGGGCCTGTCGAGGGGTGGGGGGCTAGGGAAGGGGTAGCATTAGGAGAAATACCTAATGTAGATGATGGGTTGATGGGTGCAGCAAACCACCATGGCACGTGTATACCTATGTAACAAACCTGCACATTCTGCACATGTATCCCAGAACTTAAAGTATTATAAAAAGAAAAAGAAAAAAAAAAAGCACTTATGAGAAACGCCCAGTTATAATACAGGACTGAATTTTTCCAGAGACTAGGATAAGACAGTGTGGCAATTTCTCAAGGAGCCTTCTCCTGGTCTCAAAATATAGTGTGAATTTGAGAAGGTTTCACGAATTTCTGGTATTCAAGTTGGACGAAGATCTAAAATAAAACACAATTCAGTTGCTCCCCATTTCAGAGGAGGAGTACATGGGATGGCCCCAGGCCTATGCCCCAGTCTTCCTCCATACCTCCTGAAAATGGCCTCCAGACAAATTCACCCCTCCTAGACCAGGACCCTCTGAGTTTGTCATCACAGAGGCCAATCTGAGACTAACTGGGAATGTATGTTCACTGCATAGGACAAGTTTACCTCATAAGGCCGATTCCATAAACATCTATCCGAAAAATGCAATTTTATTTCTCTGAACCAACTTAAGGCTTTCTTTATACTCAACTTTTCCTTCTTGGCATTTTCACATCTGTTATTGAGTAAATATCTAGTCTGACAGTTGATGAGGGCTTATTCATCACCTTACCCTCAGTGCCTGGCACAAGGCAGGTGCTTATAAAAATTTGGTAAATGCATGATTATTATGAACCTCATTGATTTACAGAGGTACCATTCTTCGCATTTTAAAATGCCTTCACCAGTGCCCATGAGCAGAAGAGCCAATTGCTATCCTTTGGATGTCTAACTCTCAGTGTGGCAAATTCCTTCCATCCTAGAGAGCTTCCTAAGACTTGTCTTTCTTTTTCTTGGAAAACTCCAAATGTCCCTGACTTTTTACCTGTTCTCATATGGAATGCTATGGGTTTCATTTTCTAATTGAAGCCATTGAAATTAATACTATCGCAGAAGCCAACAGCAGAGCTATAAATTCAAAATTAGTCAACTGTGGTTTTCAGTTTTAATTTGGACAGACTTTCTGTTTCTATGTGAGTGTGCCTACCTTCTAAGCCAAAGGGTCTAGAGTGACAGACAGGCTTTTTTTTTTTTTAAAGAAAAGTACATTTTCCTCAAAATAAGATTTATTAGCTATGGAAAGTGAAATGTTTTTTCATTTTTTAAAAACCTATTCTTCAAAAATCTTTAGTACTTATTGTAAGATGTCTGAGTTGCCAACCTTTGTTTATTCAGAGAGAAGTAAACACCAACTTCAAGAATGTCAATCGAGACCTCAGCTTCTCAGAGAACAGCAGTGCTCTGAGGCACACTAGCTGCTCTACATGAGTGACAGTAAGCAGGGTAAGAACTATAATTCATAGTGGAACCAGGGCTCTGCCACATCCTTGTCAATCACTCAAGCTCTCCCCACCCCCAGACTGCTCTTGATTCTTCAGTGAAGGAAATAGTAGTGATGTGCACTTGAAATCCCAGTTGTAGTATCACCAAATAATGTGCACTTTGTAAATATCAGAGATGTAGAGGAAATGCAGAAGATGTACATTTCTTGAGGACAATTCTTTTCCACAGCAACATGTAGAAGGGTGTCCCATAGTAAAAATTCAATCCATAGCTCATCCAGACTTAGGTTCCTATGACATCATTCATGCGCCGTCATTAGCTGCAAACACTTTATGGTAATTTCCACCACTTATGAAATGGCCTACTCATATCATTAAATTAAATTAAGCTGCATCTCATAGACTCAGGGTGCATCAAGATACCTGACATCTCCGTTGATTCTTTTTTGCAGACAGTATATCTTCTTTTCAAACTCTGCCTCAACTTCCCATCAATGCAGTTCAGCTTCTTCAAGAAATGTGATGTTATTCTCATCATGAGTTTTCTTTGCAACTGTCCACCAGCAAGTCTCACCCCATCTCCACCTTTTTTTCTCTTTGCCTCTATCCTCTCTTTCATTCCACTTGTCCCAGAGGACACATACTCTCAAAGCAGGTCCTCTCTACAGCATGCTTTCCTTCCAGTTTCCCTTAGGGATCAAGAGTAAACATCTACAAGCAAGGTAAGCCATATTAACCACCTCTATCCTGTGCAGGTCATGGCAATGTATTCCAATTTTCACAAAGCCTCTAGGAACACAATATTCTAATACTGAGGACTGAGAAATAAAAATGGTATATGTATGACCTGTTCCCAGTGTTCATGATGTCTTTGGGAAAGTTTAAGCCAGCTCTTTCCATCCCTCTTCTTGCTGTATTTCTCATTTTAGCTAAGCAACCTGCTCATAATCAGTGAAAGGGAGTTTTGAGTAGGAATTACAGTGAAAGCCAAATGTCTGTGCATGGACTTCTGGTCAGTTCCTCCTGATGAATCAAGCTTTAGAAAGACATTCAATAGGCATGACATCAAATTATTCTCTCAGCATAAGAAATAGTGGAAGTGACTACAAATGCTCTAAGTGCAGGCCAGGTTTTAGAAAGATCTATTCCTTTTTCTCAGGTCTAAATCTTTGGGAAAACTATAGCTTATTTTTAATTTGATCTTTAACTTTTAAGAAGATAATTGTGTTGACTTTCTTTTTCAGACAAGTTGCACCAAGGAGATAAGAAGAATCCCTTGTTGGCACACAGGTAGAGGATAAAGTCTCATCCCCTTTGTGTTGTAAGAACCCTAAACAGCCTCTCAAGTCTGAAGACCAGGTCGGCTAAATCAGGCTGGGGCCCAACATTGCATAGGACAGGGAGGAGACCACCTGGTTGTGAAATATCTCAGGAGCTCTATGTTTGTCAAAGATTTTCTTAGGAAAGTTAATGACTATGTACAATTCTTGAGGTCAACAAGAAACGAGTTAGAAAGTAATAAATTATTAAATGTTCACTGAGCAGCACTGCTGAGAGACGGCCAAGTTACAGGTTCTGTTCTGTAGTGAAAGATGTGTTAGTCACTGCGTAGTGTGGTATTCAGGATTTTTTTTTTTAAGAGATGTCACCCAGGCTGGAGTGCACTGGCACGATATCAGCTCACTGCAACCTCCGCCTCCTGGGCTCAAGTGATTCTCCTGCCTCAGCCTCCCAAGTAGCTGAGATTATAGGCGCCTGCCACCACACCCAGCTAATTTTTGTATTTTTAGTAGAGACGGGATTTCAGTGTGTTGGCCAGGCTGGTCTCAAACTCCTGACCTCGTGATCCGCCTGCCTCAGTCTCCGAAAGTGCTTAGGATTACAAGCGTGAGCCACCTCACCCGGCCAGGATTCAGGATTTAATTTCAGAACTGCCCTGTGATATATCCTGGTTCTGTATAACATTGCTACTTTTCCTAACACCATTACTAATAATAAGAGCTACCTTTTATTTTGAAGCCCTTACTGTGCCAGGCATTATGCTGATTTCTGACCCAATTTTATCATTTATTTTTCATAACAAAATATGAGGTAGATAATATCATCTTCCTTTTACCAATCAGGGAATCTACACTCAGAAAAGTTGGAAATTTGTCCAAGGTCACACAGCTCATAAGTGGGAAAGCCAGCATTTTTTTGTTTGTTTGTTTTGTTTTGTTTTTTTGACGGAGTTTTCACTCGTGTTGCCCAGGCTGGAATGCAATGGCGCTATCTGGGCTCACCACAACCTCCGCCTCCCGGTTTCAAGCAATTCTCCTGCCTCAGCCTCCCAAGTAGCTGGGATTGCAGGCATGCACCACCATGCCTGGCTAATTTTGTGTTTTTAGTAGAGACGGGATTTTTCCATGTTGGTCAGGCTGGTGTCGAACTCCCGACCTCAGGTGATCCGTCCTCCTTGGCCTCCCAAAGTGCTGGGATTACCGGTGTGAGCCACTGTGCCCAGCCCAGCCAGCAGTTTAAACCCAATTCTATCTAGCCCCAAACACAGGTCCTTAACCACTGTCCTATTGACACCCAGTGCTGTCCTTAACAGTGGGTCAATGGATATGTTTTCTAATGCAATACAATTTGAAGAGTGCTATAAATAAAATAATTATCTATTTTGTATCTTCATGTTCACATGTGAATAAAAAGATTTCTCTTGTCCCAGGAATTCCTGTTGTACTTTGAATTTCTAAGAGCATATGTTAAAACTAAAGAAAATTCCTTGCAGATCGAAGACACGGGCTGGTAGCACTTGCCTGATGGTTGCCTTTTGGTTAGAGGCTGCAGTCACCTCCCCTAACCACTGTCCCCCACCTGCCTTTCCTTTACATAAAAGGTTTATATTTCCTGGCTGTCCTTTACTCTCTGTTGTGGAACATGTTCCACAGCTTTGCTGTCAACAAGCAGTTCTTGGGGGAGGTGTCTGCGGCATGAAATTTCTTTGCATTTTATCACTTTTAATACTTGACCATTCAGACTGAAGGCATCTTCGGCTTAGTTTCAAAGACAGGGTAGGCAGCCCTCATTCAGAGATGTAGGACATAAAAGGTTTTTATCCTTCCCTGTGTAACTACTCACATAAAGACCGCATTAGCCAACCTGGATTTCCTACAGAGCGTGGGTTACCAAAACATTTCACTAAAAATGAACTTTTAAGAAAATAGGAAACCTGTGAAATTACAAAGTTTACAAAAGACTCTAATTCCTACAATGACCTGGAGGTTAAACACACACACACAGACACACACACACACACGCACACATACTGCCACTACCCTGCTAAAAATCCCTGAAATAGTTAATATTAACAATTTGACAGTGCCATTTATCCAGAGATAGTAATCAAATCACCTACTGTTATAGACTTGGCTTGGGGGGCAGTGAGAATATATAGTTTTCTTAAGATCTTTCCCTCCTTGCTTTGAAAAGTACATCCCCCCCTCAAGACTCTCATGCTCCCCCTCCTTCCAAAAAAAGAGAAAAGGGGAGGGGGAAGCCCTAGGGATGAAAGAGGACTCCTCACCCTAGAATGGGGTTATCTTAACCTCTTCTACGCTATTTATTTAACTTGTGTGTACAGCCAGAAGGAAGCCACTACTCTGGGGTCCCTGGGACAGCTTAAAACCCTAGTGACCCACTTAACACAATAGATTGTTTTAATCAGTTCGTGTCCTGGCACCATCTCGAAGGGGAACATAAACAGACGCGCACACCGCTCAGATTTGCTCTTTCCAGCAGGAGATCCAATTACCTATCGGTGGTCACCTCTCTGCCCTCGGACCGTTTAAGAGGGGGATTTTAACCCCTAACGCTGAGGCTGTATTTCTGTCTATAAGAGCCGAGATTCGGAGTCGGTCGAGGAGGGGAAGGCAGTAGACGGATTCGACCCGGGAATGCATTAGGGACAGCTCCGGGCGCGCAGGAATTTCTTCACAGCAGAGGCTGGTCACCTGCCGTCCGTCCCTCCCCGCCTGGCCCGGTGACCGTCGCCAGAGCCTGGCGCAGGCAAATAAACGCCAAGCTGGGGCACCCCCAAGGAGGAGCTGCGATCCGAAGGCAATGCCAAGCGAGAGCGGTGGCGCGTCTGTTCTTCCGGAGTCTGTAGTCTACAAATAACTCCGGCCAGCAAGGAGGTGACAGCCCCAATATACCTCCCACTCCCCTGCTATGGCCTTGCTCCGCAAGCTGTGGAGGGGCCAGCGGAGCCAGCCAGGCAGCGAGAGAGAACGAAAGACGCCCAGCTCGTTGCAGCCGCCAACCCGCCTCAGCCGCCAGTCCCTAGTCCTCAGGAGCTAGTGAGGCGCTGCAAGGCGAGGCTGGGGCCTCTAGAACACAGTTTAAGGGGTGCGCGCGGAAGTGGGAACCAGCCGGTGGCCGCTGCCCGGCGCCAGAACGTCTACCATTCAGCTCGGGCGTGCGCGGGGCGGGGAAGAGGCTGGAGTAGAGAAGCGAGCGCCCGCGAGTGCGTGGCCGGTCCGCGAGCGCGTGTGGTGTCTGCCTTGTGAGCACTGCGGGTTCGCTGGACCCCGCGGCCAGGGCCGCGCCCCGCACCGCAGCTGTCGGATTACCCACCGTTCGGTTTTCCGCTGTGGCTGAACACAGCGGCTCTGCCCTTGCCAGTCTCCATCTCACCTCGGGGATCGGCAAATGCACACATCATGGATTCTCCGGATGCTCCAACCCGCGGACTCCAATGGGCGCCCCAAGACGCCCCCAGACCCAGCGCGGCGCCCCAAGCACATGGGACCCTCTCAAGGCAACTCGCCGCGCAGTCAGCGGCCGACTAGCAGGTCCGGATGCTCCTGCGCTCTGGCGGCCTGGACTTCGCGCCCTCGCTAAGCGGGCGCGTCTGCCAGGCGCTGCTGCCACCAGCACCAGGAGCGTGTTCGGGGGCCTCCGGGAGGTGGAAACGGGATGTGGGGGTCATCCTGCCCGCTCCTGACAACTTTTTTTCCTACGTTTCCCTGCAGACCCAGAGCAGCGAGGTCACGGTGTCCGCGGCCTCAGCAGGAAGGACCCCGCGATGGTTCTTCACAATTCACCCCCGCGAACAACGCACCCGAGCCTGCGCGCACGGAGGGCTGCCGCGCGTGGAACTGAGCGGGTCCTGGGTTGGTTTGCGGCCCTCTTCCCTCCGCCCACTCACATCCCTGCCGGGTGCGTCCGCGCTCACCTGTCAGTGCGGCGGGTCCTCGGGGCCTGCGCTTTCGACGCGTGGCGCTGAGTGCGGCCGCGGCCAGAGCCGCCGGGGCTCGGCGCGGGGTCAGCGGGACCGAGAGTGACGCGGCGGCCGTGCACTGGGTCGCCCGGTCCGCGGAAGGCGCACCGAGTGCCAGGCATCGCGCCGTCTCCCGTTTAAATGCCGGCGGCAGAGCGCGGCGCCCGGGGCCGCGCCTCTCCATTGGCCAGGCGCCGCCGCCGCCGCCAGACCCGCTATCCGCCCCCTTTCCCGGTACTGCCCCCGCCCCCCGCACCCCTCCTGCTTCCCCGCGGGGTCCCCTCTCCGCCCGCCTCGCCTCTTTGTCTGCTCCCCCCGCCCGGGCCGGCTGGGAGAGGTCACCCCAGGGAACCGCGCCTGGAATGCACAGCAAATCACATTTTCCGCTCCCGTTGGAGAGGGAAGAGCGGGAGGAAATCCCCCCGGCTGGCGGCCCCTCATTCCTTCTCTGCCCCAGGTCTGGGCTTTCCCTGTCGGCCGCCCGGCATCGCCTGCGTTGGTCCCGCGCTCAGTAGCGGAGACTGCGCTGGGAAGAGCGAGATCTCCGTGGGATCGTGCCAGATTCGGCCATTCTTCCCCTCTGGAGGGAACGGGACTGCGGGATGCTCTGGTCGAGCGGCCGTCGTGGCTCCCCGGCGGCCCCGCCCGAGGCCCCCAACTTCGAGGGCGCTGACCCCGGCGCCCCCGTTAACCTGGCGGGCTCGCTGGCCGCCAGCAGGAGCCTGTCGCCAACATGACACCCTCCTCTCCTCGCCCGCCAAGGGTTCTTTCAGCCCAGATGCCGGCGGCCTCCCCTGTGAGTGTACAGAGGGGAGTCACGGGAGGAGAATAAAACTAAATGACCGTCAAAAGTCAAGGCTTCTGTTCCTAAATTATCTTAAGAGACAGAGAGAAAACAGCCACTGGGCGAGAGGGGTTTTCTGTAGCATATCAAAGACGAATAAGTCAGGAAAATAAAACGTTAGATGAGGAAGTAACTTCCCAGAAATTTAGGACAAAAACCTACCGACGTGTAAAACCAATGTCACATTCCGGATACCAAGTACATAAATAGTTTTCGAAAGATGAGCGAACACTTTCATTTGTTCTCTTAGCCTGAAAAATTGGTTCCTCAAAGAGGCCGTAAGTTTTGTGTGTTGAAGCTAAAGTCCGTGCAAAAATTAACACGTCTGCAAGATCTGCAGACCAGCTCCATCAGCCACGTCAAATGAAGACTTTGAAAAAGATTTGCTACAGAAGGAAATATGAAGGTGTCTGTATTGTCTAACGCGAAATAAACAAAACAATGAAATCCATCAAAAGATACTTACGAAACACCCGTAATTTAAGTACTTGACTAGGAAAACAAAACCAGACCAGAAAACAGCCTATTTTTTTTTTCTCTTTAGTCCGGCGTTAGGGGGAAGAAGCAAGAAACATCTACTAGATGCTGTTAGGAACGTGAAATGGATATTTTTAAATAAATGAAGCAAGAAGGACGTCTGCATTAGTATCCTTAAAATCTTAGTCCTCTCAATGTTTTGTTTGTGCAGATGGCAGTTTCTACACATGAACTCGAGGCTGCACTTTACAATTCTCAATCAGTTGTTGTTAAGTCATGCAGTGAGCCACAGTTTGTAGTTGCCTACAGAATGGGAGCATTGAACCAGCTTGAAGACCTGTCTTGCTCACGTGGGCTCCTGGAGAGATAGGTAATCAGAAATACACAAAATACTTAGGCGATGACCAGTTCAGTCGAAGCCCACCACCAAGCTGTATTGGAGCCAGCTGTTCTCCCAACGTGCAAACTGCTGTACTTCTCCCCACAAAAGGGAGCATATTTTACAAATTCATTAAGTCCTCCTCATCTAAAATAAAAGCTTTAGTCACTTCTTTTTTTCCCAAGACTTATATACTGCCCCAAATCAAAATACAAAGAAGCTGAAATTACCTCCCAAAATGGAAGTGATTTTTTTTTTTGGAGCCCTGACACTGTGGTTTTCTCTATCTCCATGTATCAAATCATGATGACTCTTCCTCATGCAGTTTCTCAGGCCATATTTTTTATAATAGAGCCCCCACCTCCTCCCCACAACACACGCCCCCTCTCTGTATCCCAAAGAGATAGAGAGGGCTATGCATCACTGCATCATTTTTCTTCATTCTCATTTCTCTCTCCCTTCTCCCTGGCATTATAGTATTTCCTGCCACTAGAATGTAAGGTTCATAAGGGCAGGGATTTTGTCTAGGTCACTTTGATTACATGAAGCACATAGAATATAGATTGTCTAACACAGCACTCAGATTCAATAAATAGTTGTGGATTGAGAATGTTGAGCACATTCCCACTAAGATTGTCAGCTGAACCAAATGCTGAGGGTATAACCATCGTGGATAGGATAAACACAGGCCCTCACCTCAAAGAATTTATAGTCTAGTATGTTTGTAAATATTTATATAGAAACACAAGTTTTTTGCCCAATATTTGTGTTTCCACAGCTCCTAACAAGTTCTTGCAAACCATTGTCCAATCAGGATGAAGGCATAAGGATAAAAACTCCCTAGACCGCTCTAAACATGGTTACATAACTAAAACCTGCTTTTAGTAAGGGGAGAAGAAGTAGAATGACTCGATGTAGTCATGCCTAAACCATGATGCCTAAACCACGATCACTAAATGATTAATTTTATTTAATGAAAGTACTTTCAAACTACTTTGAGGTTGTGAGAAGAGTAGATTCTGCTCAGCCACTGGTTCGTAAAAGTAAAGTCCATTTCCTCTTTTTTTGCCCACCTGTGTTTGGAATGTGCTAGCCTCTCTGTAACCCCAAGAAGCTAAAAGAGGGCTACTCCCCAGGTTTGGAGAATAACTTTGAAGACCTTTAGAGAAGAGTTTTTACTTAGATCTGCAAAAGCTATTTACAGCTGTTCATCCAATTGCAGAGACTACGTATGCTGTCTTGCATAGGATTAAAAAAGAATAAAGCCCTTTACACAGTTGGAACTGACCTTGTATGCCCTTTCTAAAGAAAAAAAGTATTAACCTATAAACTTGATAATGATTAAGTAAAAACATATTTACAAGAGTCAAATACCAGTTAAATGGATCATATTCAGAATGAATTTTTCTTATAAGTTAGTAAGAAAAAAATCCCCACAAATAACCCAATAGGAAAAAAAAATTGCACATGGCCAAAGCACATGGGCAGGTAATTCACAAAAAAGAAACCTGGACAGCCAGTAAATATAAAAAGATGCAACATTACACCAGTAAATCAGAGAAATATAAACTGAAATGAGAAGATACTGTTGCTTATCTACAAAGTTACCAAAGATCTAAAAGTCTGACAATATCCAGCAATGGAAAAGGTAGAGAGAAGCAAGCAAGCAAATGCATTGCTAGTGAGAGGGTAAATTAGTACCATCATTTCAGAAAGTAATTTGTCAATTTGCATTAATATTAAACATGCACTTAGTATGCCACCCAGACATTACACTTCTAGGTAAACACCTTAGAAAAATTTGAACGTGTGTATGAGGACTAGAAACTTGTATAAGCATGTTTATCAAGGTATTGTTTGTAACAATCTTAATGTCCATCAACAAATATAGGAGAAGGCATAAGAAATTATTTTATTCATATGGCAAAATGCTACATAGCTAATAAAAGAAATTGATTAGATTTTTATATTTTAACATAGAGCTCAAAACATAGAGATGCTTTTTTTAAAAAAAAAAAGGAAGCTGCAGAATGATATAAGTAGTATGATACCATTATGTGTATTTTATAGTAAACATATAAAAATAGCATAAATTGCTTGTGAAACATACGGTCATGTGCATGGATAAATAGTGACTTGGAATCCATACCTTTAATGATGTTCACCAGAATGAGGAGGGGAGGAGGTGGATCAGGCATGGACAACAAAAGAAACTTCAACATTACAAACCATTTAAAAATCTTATGTCTTAAAAAAAATCTTGAAAGAAATATGACAAAATGTGGACAATTTGAATTTCTGGGTGATGGGTACATGGATGTGTTTGCTAGATAACTCTCTCTACATGTTGATAATGTTTTAAACCCTCAAATTTAAAACAAATGTGATGTTTCTATTATGATTTCAAGAGTGATTTTGAGCATCATTTGTAAACTGAACATTTTTGCTTCCCATGTGTTCTTTGTAACAAGCTCCAATCTGAGTAGGCATGCTTTCAGAATGCAAACAAGCCCTTATGTAAGTGTGTATGTCTGCTGACCTGTCTGAGGTGTATGCCTAACCAGTTTCCTGTGTATGGAAAATGCACGTGCATGTGAAAATTCTGGACAATGTTGCCAAATACAGGTATATGGAATGAGTTATTCAGGACCATTGTAATACAATTCTTGCCCTATTTCATGCACATATTTATTGCATATACTCCACGTGCAGTGCAGTATCAAAAGGTGAAGGCTTCAAACTATGAACATAATCCTTCACAGTCAATAGTTCTGGCACAGTGGGAAAAAGCACGGAACTCGGAGTCAGGAAAGTCAGAGTAAATTCCTGATACTTCCCCTTAGAAGCTGAATGTCTCAATTAGGTATTTAAAGCCTCTGGGCTGAAATTCAACCATCTGTATTATAGGAATGGTGATAACACCCACTTCTGGGTAGATGCTGGAATTAAGTAAAACAAGCTCTGTGAAAGTGCCAGGCACCTAATAAACATCAGTGTCTGCATAGATACTAGAGTTCAACTGGGAGCTAACACAATAAAACAGTAAGTCTAATATCAGCGTCTGCTGGGTCTTATGTATCTTTTTTTTTTTTTTTTTTGAGGCGGAGTCTTGCTCTGTCGCCGAGGCTGGACTGCAGTGGCGCGATCTCGGCTCACTGCAAGCTCCGCCTCCCGGGTTCACGCCATTCTCCTGCCTCAGCCTCCCGAGTAGCTGGGACTACAGGCGCCCGCCACCACGCCCGGCCAATTTTTTGTGTTTTTAGTAGACACGGGGTTTCACCGTGTTAGCCAGGATGGTCTTGATCTCCTGACCTCGTGATCCACCCACCTCGGCCTCCCAAAGTCCTGGGATTACAGGCGTGAGCCACCGCGCCCGACCGGGTCTTATGTATCTTTATATTCACTCTGGGTAACGCAGGGGTGGCACACGGCAAATGCTTGACAAAGCTATGAAATGAGTACTTGCACAGGGAGAAGGAAGGAAGGGAGGAAGAGAGGAGAAGAAAATAAGGGGAAAAGAAAGAGATAGAGGAAGAGATAAAGAGAGGGATGGAGGGAGGAAGGAAGGAAAGAAGGGAGAGAAAGGGAAGGAGGAAGACAGGAAAGAAAATGAGTGATACCTTCCAGTAAATGGCACAACAACTTTTTTTTTTTTTTTTTTTTTTTTTTTGTAAAACCAGTAAACAGTTTTACCAAACACTTCTGGCTCTTTTTTGCCTGCACTACAAGAATCATGCTAACCTAAAGTTACCCTTCTCAGAATGGTTCCACTGCAGTGATAGAAGCTAAGAATAAGAGACCAGAAGATGCCCAAATGTGTAGTCAGACAGGCTGAAACTCCCATCCAAGAGACTGGGGAGTGAAACAAGACAGAAAGACAGAGACAGCAATGTATTTCTTAGCCAAAATTCACATACCCAGTGCCTAAATGTAACAGAGTCTGTGTGAAACAAGGCTCCTTCCTTTGTCTGCAGACAGGGTAACCTGTTACGTTTGAAAGGTTTATACCGAATGTATTTGTTTTGAGCTCTTTGATGTGACCTCACTCTTGGGAAAAAAATGTGATGGGACTTTATTCAGTTAATAATTTTGTGTTTTCCCTTATAGCTTGTGTTCTTCATTTTCTAAATTTTTTTTGGTGGAGGGTTTCTCTTTGAAAAAAGCTCATTTTAATGCAATTTTAAAATGCTAGTGCCTTGGGGAAGATCTGTTGAAAGTACCTATTAAACTGAAGGTTGCAAGGTTTTACCCCGCTGTCTCTGGCTATCCTGCTCCTCACTTTTTTTTTTTTTTTTTGACTTTTGGCTTATTTAGTCCCTTCCCAGTCTTTGTTTCCTTGATGTCTCTGCTATTTACTAGAAGTCATTTTAGGATTCACGTTTTCACTCTTGTGTCCTTTTTTGAAGGCATGGAAGTATACGTGTGATTTTGCTCTTGCTGCCGCTCTCCTAATATGTCACTTGGACTGATTCATTACATCTTATAAAATATTTTATAACATGAAGTTATTGTAAAAATATTACAAACTCATCACAGAAAACTTGGAAATAGAGAAAAATACAAAGAAAATAAAAGTATGCCGTAATCTCACAATCCCCAAATAACCACTGTTTGCTCACACACACTGTATATATATGTACATATATGGATTTCCTTCTAATTATATAGTGTGTGTATATGTGTGTGTGCATGTGTATGTGTGTGTGTGCATGTGTATGTGAGAGAAAGAGAGAGAGAGAGAGAAGATGCTGTATATAATAAGATGCTTTATTTAACTTTTAAATTTAACCTAATATTTTGATTATTTTTGCGGACATTATTAAAATTCTTCAAAAATATCAGTTTAAGAGTAGTATAATATTCTCTTGTATGAATAACATACTATAACACTTTATTTTTTCTTATAGGATTAACAATGTGTGTGTGTATGTGTGTGTGTGTGTGTGTATACATACATTTCTTAAAGTGGCCTTTTATTAATTACTTAATGTGTACCAAACACGAGGCTTTATATGCATTATCTAATTTAATTACCTTAACACTCTTACGAAATTGCTACTATTGTTTGTTCTGTTTTAAAGATGAGAAAGCTGATGTCTAGAGAGGTTGTATGACTGTCTCAAGGGCACACAGCTATATGAAGCAGTCACAGCTGCTGACCCCTGAGCCCCATACACTGAGCTTCTACCCTCTATACTGTGAACAAGAGTCTACACCATACACTGTTAGAACTGGTATTCAAATACCACTATTTTTTCATGAAAGAAAACTATTCCTAAGTGCGAAATGACTTAAATAATTTGATAGTTGGTATTGTCAAAACATTTGGTTGTGTAAAATATGAACACATATATGAGGAATATGGGTTTCGATATCACATGAGTTTACTCATAAAGAATGCTGAACACATGGCCATTGAAAACCCATATGCCACCGGGCACAGTGGCTCACGCCTGTAATCCCAGCACTTTGGGAGGCCAAGGCAGGTGGATCACGAGGTCAGGAGATCGAGACCATCCTGGCTAACACGGTGAAACCCCGTCTCTACTAAAAATACAAAAAATTAGCTGGGCGTGGTGGCGGGCGCCTGTAGTCCCAGCTACTCGGGAGGCTGAGGCAGGAGAATGGCATGAAGCCGGGAGGTGGAGTTTGCAGTGAGCCGAGATTGCACCACTGCGCTCCAGCCTGGGTGACAGAACGAGACTCCATCTCAAAAAAAAAAAAGAAAAAAAAAAAAAAGAAAAAAAAAAGAAAAAATGAAAACCCATATGGCCTGTCTTGAGGTTTCCTACAAAAACCAAAGCCTGCCTTATTGCCATTAGTTATTAATGACTGTATCAGTCTCTCTCTGTCTATCTCTCTCTCTCTCTGTCTGTCTGTCTGTCTCTCTCTCTCTCTCTCTCTATATATATATATATATATTTTTTTTTTTTTGAGAGGGAGCCTCACTCTGTCACCCAGGCTGGAGTGTATTGGCACAATCTCAGCTCACTGCAACCTCTGCCTCCTTGGTTCAAGCGATTCTCCTGCCTTAGCCTCCTGAGTAGCTGGGACTACAGGCACTCGCCACCACGCCCTGCTAATTTTTTTTTGGTAGTTTTAGTGGAGACAAGGTTTTGCCATGTTGACCGCGGCTTGTCTCAAACTCCTGACCTCAAGAGATCCGCCTGCCTCAACCACCCAAAGTGCTGGAATTACAGGCATGAGCCCCTGCACCTAACCTGTATCAGTCTACCTTTAAAATTAGGAGCTTATAAGTAAGTTCAGTATTTTGGGCTTCTTCTCAAGGTAGAGAAGGATGGAGCTAAAGGTGGAAAGCAAATTCAATACCTGCTTTCCCTTCTAAAGATCAATGTGAACTTGTACACCAATTTGCACTTGGCTCACAAAGGGTCCAAATTTAAATCTCTTTTCAATCTTGGTTCCCTCTCCACTCTTCCCTTCGTAGCGTAATAGGTTGGATCATCTGGAATACGATTTCTCATTCCTTTTTAAAAGAAAGATGAAAAATGTAAACTGTGGGCTCCTCACTGCTTATGTCAGAGCAATACATGTGTGCTTTATATAAACTAACCATTTGTCTATTAATGTTTGCAAAGAACTCCGTAGACATGAGGCATTTGGGACACACTCTCTGGAGAAATGTGGTGCCTTTGGAGAGAGGATCAGAGAAGGAAGAAACCAATAGTAAGAGAAATTCCTTTATATGCACATGTATAATAAAATGTGAAAGAAAATCTACCAGTTGAGCATCGAGCTGCATTTTCCCTTAGGTTGAAAGTTAGCCAGTAGGAAGGAAACCTTTTCAAGGAGACTAGGTAACCTTGCCTGCAGTGTTTGTTTCTACACTCTGTTTTACTTGTTCGTGTGACAGAGAAAGAAAACAAAGCTGATGGACTTTGGACTGGACAATGTAGCAGTGTGTCCCCAGATACCAGCTTCCAGATGATCTCTCTTGGGTCTCCCAGATGGAGCAGAGGGTTTCTGGTGACTCTGGTCACTGCATCAGCCAGAGCAGACAGGATCTTAGAAGCTCCCAGGTGCACATGTCTGCCTTTCCACGTCGCCACGATTTTGTAGGAAAGTGGCTGAGCATGGGATAGGCCCTTAAAGACTGTAAAGTGTGATTCTTGGTCATGTGGACATTAAGCCAAAGTAGAACAACTTTCTGAAAAAAAAAAAATCGTAATGATTTTTGCAGTGCTACTCTGCTAGCCAGAGTGATCCATGGATGTCTGTGGAATAATTAGGATGTACTTCCCCTAGAGAAATGTATGTGCTGGTCTCTTGGCACGAGCAACTCCAGAAAGTTTACCTAGCCAACACCTCAGGACACTAGCCAGAACCCCTCGTTATGTTTCCACTCTTCCAACGAAGGAAGAAAGAAAAAAGGGAAGGAAGGGAGGGAAGGAGGGAAAGAGGGAGGGAGGGTATTGGTTCTTTTCAATAAGAAAGACAAATTATTTCAGATAACAGCAGCTTCCCTTAAATGGTATTTAAGCTTTAACTCTATAGTCCTAAATATCTATTTTAACAGCAGTGATTACTATGTGAGCTCTGCACTGTCAATCTAGAGAAAAGAATCTTGCCACTAAGAAGAATTTCAAGGTGAGAGTTCGCTTTTAATACGCACATATAACACAGACATTCAATTGCACACATGTAGAAAAGAACATGAGAGGAGTGCACAGCTGAGTAGCAAGCATCCACTCCTGCCCCTGGTGTTCAGTGCCAGCCTGATGGTCTCCAGCTAATGTTCTCTGTGCACATGCAACATTTGAGCCCAGCAGGAGCTGAGCACATACCACAGACCACCATGTTCACACGTTTGCTCTTGCTCCTCCCTCCCCTCAGAAGTTCCCACCCTTCTCTCTTCTGGTTGAATTCCTACTCTGACCTCAAGCCTTCTTCTCAGAGCCTTCTGCCTTTTCTATTATTCTTGTCATATTTTTCCTTTATTGTAGTTACATGTATGCTGGACACATCTTCTTCAATGAAATGTAGACTCCTTGCATGGAGAAAGTGTCTCCTTCCTCCTCTTTGAGTCCCTGTGGCCCTAGCACAGGCTGAGTTGAATCGTAACTAAAGTGCTCCAGGTCTCCTCATCATTTCCCCTGCTGTCTTCTATTTTTATCCCGTCACCTGTAGGAACTGTGTCGGAAGAACTAACTGCTAGAGTTTCTCCAAAGTGTCGCGGCCAGTGGCAGTCCAGTAGCTGTCTTGAGTCCATCCTGACTCTTCGCGGCCCATCCCCAAGTCCAGGTCACGGTCATTTCTCACCTAAAAGGTTGCAATTGCTTCTTTATTGCTCTCCCCACTTTCACCGATGCTGACCCAAAGCCACTGGACACTTCTTCTTTTTTGTTTTTTGCTTTTTTGTTTGTTTTGTTTTGTTTTGTTTTTTAGATGGAGTCTTGCTCTGTCACCAGGCTGGAGTGCAGTGGCGCAACCTCAGCTCTCTGTAACCTCTACCTCCCAGGTTCAAGTGATTCTCCTGCCTCAGCCTCCCGAGTAGCTGGGATTACAGGCGTGTGCCACCACACCCGGCTAATTTTTTTGTATTATTAGTAGAGATGGGATTTCACCATGTGGGCCAAGATGGTCTCAATCTCTTGACCTTGGGATCCACCCTCCTCGGCCTCTCAAAGTGCTGGATTACAGGTGTGAGCCACTGTGCCCAGCCTGGACATTTCTTAACTTATATACTAAGCCATGTCCTTCCTTTGACTAACGCCCTTTCTTCCTGGCTCTTACCAAATTTTTAAATTATGCAATTTGTAGATTTGCTTGGTTTTTGTCTGTTTCCTCCACGTGCCTGTAAGCTCTGTGGGGGCAAGAACCGTCTCTGTGTGGCTCACTGAATCCCCGGCCTCTACATGGCACTTGGAGTACATAGATGCTCCCAGACCTTTGTTGAATGAATAGATTAAAAGTGCAGCTGTTCTTATTTTCCTTCCTGTTATAACCCTTGCTCTAGCCCCCTTTTTGCCTTGCTTCTGTTTCTGATTTCTCCTCCTTCATTTTTTTTTTTTTTTTTTTTTTTTTTGAGACAGGCTCTTACTCTCACCCAGCAGGCTGGCGTGCAGTGGTGAGATCACAGCTCACTGTACCCTTGACCTCCTAGGCTCAAATGACCCGCCCACTTCAGCCTCCCAAGTAGCTGGGACTATAGGCACACACTAATTTTTGTATTTTTTGTAGAGATGGGGTCTCACCATGTTGCCCAGGCTGGTCTCGAACTCCTGGGGGCAAGAGATCCACTCATCTTGGCCTCCCAAAGTGCTGGGATTACAGGCATGAGCCATTGGCGCCTGGCCTGGTTTCTGCATTTTACCTGGAACTCATTGGAGAACTGAAACTCAAGAGCCTCAAAATCTACAACTGAGCCTAGGGGAGCCTCAGTCCTTAGTTTTGTCGTGGAATCAGAGAGCACATTCCTGTGCTCCAGGTGCCCCACCCACTGAATAACAGCGGAGGCAATGATGGCACTGACTCACTCTGGAAACTGCAACTGCACCCCGATAAGTTCTCCCTGTAAAACCAGTCACAAGATGACATTCCTCAGACCCCAAAGAAGTGAGTAAGTTTTATGGCCTGTGTCAGGGTAACATGCACTCTGCTAAAAATAACATGGTAAAATTTCCTAAGAAATAAATAATGCACCATTGCTTTGTGTTTCTGGGAAACCTTAAGGATTTGTTGTAGAAAGATATTTTAGTTTTCTTAGCCTGGTGAAAAAGCATGCAAAGGAAAAAGTCATATTGGATAAGAGAAAGAATATTTGGGTATGTGGCCAGGAATGATGCACGTTTTGCCACTTATTTCTTTTACGTTTTAATCTTTTTGGAAACAGAGGCAAGTAACTAGCCAAGTACATTTGAAGGGCATCCATAGTTCCAAATGCCTCTCCCTTTACAATTTATTGATGAAGGACTAAGTAGCTCATCTAATTCATCTTGAGGAGATAGGAAAATGCTTATGGCAACAGCATTTTATCATGGTTGTGAGGCTTCTGAAAACATAATTCCAAACGATAGGAATGGTTTGCAGAGCCATCTGGGAGGAGATGGGCTGATTAGGAATGTCTGGGGCCTTAGAAATAAATTCAGGTGAAGTCGAAGCATGTTTTTCAGATCTGGTAGATTTTTGTGAGACTATTTATGGCTGGGTGTAGTTTAGCAGGCTTCTCGTAGAGCAGTGGAGTCCCTGTGTTCTACAACCTTCCCTCCGGGGCTTTTGTATTCACCCATTCTCACACCATTTCTGGTTGCAATTGTGTGCAATGTTTCCCCAAATTCACTGTGTATCAGAGTCACTGGAGAAACAAAACAAAACAAAAAATTGATCCCCAGAGCTTGCTCTAGACTACTGAATCAGAATTTCCTGGGCCAAGAATCTGTATTTTTACAAAGCTCTCCAGATGATTCTGATAAGCAGCCAGGTTTGACAATCACTGGTGTGGTGGAAAGAATTCTGTTTGCATCTAAGCTCAACCACCAACTACCTAAGCAACTTTAGAGATGGCAACTCTTGGGCTATCAGGAAACAGAGAAAATGATGCCTATGTCACAGGGTTATTGAAGAATTAAAGGAAATTACATATGTGATCTATCCCAATGCAAATTTAGTAGGCTGCGTTAGTTAATACTCTGCTGATGACCTAGAAGCTTAAAAGAGTTTTTTTCTCTAAAAAAGTGTTTAGCTTCCTCTTCTGTGTTTGATTCCTTATGAAACTTGGTTTCCCCTTTCATCAGTCACCAAGGATCAGGCCATATGTAGATGAATCATAATACCATTATGCCATGTGTTCTAAGAGCCTTCCAAGTGCATTGCTGCAAGAAAAGCTCAACATTTAATGTATATTGTTTTTCGATATCTCTTTCCAAATTGCCAGTACAATTTCCATTCCTGGGAAATTACATAGACATGTCTGGATCCAGTTCTTTTATCTTTGCATTTCCAACTGCTCTGTTTTCCTTCTTTCTTCCCATCAAATTCTTATATTTTGACAGTTTTAAGACCAGCTCTTCCTTGATCCTTTCCTTCCTATAATATATTGAATTGAAGTGAGCCCATTTCCCTTAGTGAGCCTTCTCTCCAAACACAAAATACTCTGAAGTTCAGATTCTCCTTCTGTGAGTGGGTTAACATCACACAAAGTTTGTGGTTTCATCCATCATAAACAAGAGTGTTTTACATGAACTCTGTTTCTTGTCTCCCAAGAATCACAGAAAGGTTGGGGCAAAGTGAAATAAATTTTCAGAAAGAAAAGTTACTTATTAAAAATAGCAGTGATAAAAATATGTAGATTGATTTAGTAGGAAGAATTCGTAAATTGTTTTAACTTAAAAGGAAACACTCTTGCAGGCATTCACAATGAATCAGGAGGAAAACACTTTGGCTTCTTCAAAAAGCTATTTACTCTCTTTGGTGTTCACAAAACATATCCAACAAAAGCCTTTTCTCTTATGATGCGAGGGAAGAAGGCAAATTGCATTTGGGAGCATCTGATCATACTTCACTCAGGAATGTTATGGGTTTTGGTTGTGTGCCCAGCTGATCTGAGCATATTAGCAAACATAGTAATAGTATTAGCTGCTGACAGTGTTTGGTATCAAACACATCCATTTGCAAAAATAGAAGAAATACTATATTCACATTTTCAATGCTCCCCTTTACTTAAATACCACAATGTGGTTTGAGTTGTGAATCTATTGAAGACATCTTTGATGAATCAACAGTCAAGGCATATGTAGAAAGTGATTTGGAAAATTTTTCCTGGGTTGTTGGTGGGGGAAGGGAGATAGTGTTGGGACATTTTCCATTCTCGTTCCTGCTTTTTCATTGGCCCCTGCCGCTTCCTAAGTCTATCTGCTGTTAAATGAAGATAACTCCCTCTCTCATACCCCAACGTCTCGTCTCTCAGGGCTTTCTGGAGTACGACAGACTAATTGCAAAGAAATTTGACCTTCTTGGATAACTGGTGCCATCTAAATACCACGCGTTATTCCCCTGTCAGACACTCTAACGTAGGATGAGCCAGGCTGAAATCTTCCAAAAGCTGTGGAGGATAAATAAGCTCACATTCCAACTCAAAAATCAACAATAACAAAAAAGCCAAGCATAGTGAAAAATGATAAAGATCAGCCTCCGCTGTCACCTTTTTCATTCATACCATTGTACTTTTGGGGTCTATGTCATGGGGATGGTTCCTATGTCAATCCTAATGATAAAGCTTGAGTTTGGTTTACGTCTGTGCTGCGATTATTCATCTTCTTTCAAGCACTATTTCTTACTTTATCAACCAGGAAGGCGGGAAAAAATGATCTCTAAAATTCTACGGTTTTTCACTTTTCTCCTTTGGAGCTATTATAAGATAGTAAATTGATGGTAAAACTGAGATCAGGACAGCTGGGCTCTACTTTGAATTTTCATAGAGCTTCAGCTTACCTGGGTTTTGGCTATCCCTATATGGAAAATATAGATCAGTGGTCTTCAGCGTTTTTGGCACCAGGGACTATTTTTGTGGAAGACAATTTTTCCGTGGATGGCAAGGGGCATATGGTTTTGGGATGAAACTGTTCCACCTCAGATTATCAGGCATTAGATTCTCATAAGGAGTGTGCAACCTAGATCCTTCACATGGACAGTTCACAATAGGGTTTGCACTCCTATGAGAATCTAATGCTGCCACTGATCTGACAGGAGGCGGAGCTCAAGCCGTAATGTTCACTCGACCGGGGCTCACTTCCTCCTGAATGGCCCAGTTCCTAACAGACCACAGACCAGTATTGGTTGGTGGCTCAGGGGTTGGGAACCCCTGATGTAGCTGATACCTGACTCCTCAGGAGACAGGCTTTTGGAAGCAAACTGGAACACCAAATAGATGCACTCCCACAGATGTTGAAGTTGGAAGAGAAAGAAAAACATCTATTTTTCTGCTGCTGTTTCTGCTATGAGAGATGGTAGCTGCAGGCAGACTCACCATTCTTGTGTCAAGACAATGACTTTGGGAGTATCACACATCATTGGTAGTGATGTGGTGGTGGCAGTGACACCAACCACTATTTCCTGACCTCTGGATTCCAGCTATGTGCGTGACCTTGAACTGGTTAAACCGAACTGTGGATCCCTGCCTCATGCTCCTCCACTTCTTTAAATAATTTTGTAAGCACATAATTCCTTGCATTAAATCCCTTTCATATGGAAATATCCAGAGTAAAGAGTTTGTTTCTTGCCCTGAAATCTGATGAATTCTGAATTTGACATCTAAATAGAGGTTTAACACAGGTGCCATATTGCAGGGAATTTCACATCACAGGATCTTCACATCAATATGATAAGGTAAGTATTACCTTTCCCATTGGTTACATGAAAGAACTAAGGTTTAGTGAGATGGAATTATTTGCTCAAGGCCACACAACTTGTAAGTCACAGAACCCGTCAAATGCAAATCTAATTACAAAGTTTTTGTATCTAACTACTCTGTTAAACTGTGATGCCATGGGATCAAGTGTGTAATAATAGTGTACAAATAGCTGAATATTTATGGTTGCAAATGTGCTTTAAACTCCATGAAGGAAGAGCCTATATCTTATACCTCTTTAGTAAGACTCCCCAGTCCCAGAATATAGCTCAGTATTTGGCACATAGAATAGATCCTTGATAAGTTACTGCTGAATGAATAAATGAATGGTATCGTGATGAGTCCTAACAAGGAAGGTGACACCTTGTGGGGAAGTCACTATAGTTTCCAAATGGGCTTTATTAAGATGCATCTCACTCCTCAGGTGTTCAGTTGCCACTGCTAAAAGCCATTACAAATATTTTTGTTTCCTGTGTATATAGTTATGGTTTCTGTTCGGAAGAATGGCTTATCAACAAGTTCTACTGGCACATAACATTCATCAAACAATAGAACATTCAGTCTATTAGGATGGGCTGTTAGGTTTTTCTAACTCAGCCCATCTTATAGCAGCTCTTTTCTAAAAGAGACTTTCTTTTGCAACTTATAAGTTAATAAGTTTTTAAACCCAAATTCAAGGACATGGTTCTACAAGAATCTTTGCAAACACCCTGCCTTTACTTGTGGCCTTCAGAAGCCGATGTGTGACACCCATAAATGTCTTACCAACTTTCTCCATGGATTCCTCTGTGCCCATTTGGAATCAAGTTTTCTTTTACTATATAGTTATGATAATTTTCAGCGGCCCTTGCCTTCTCACGGGGCTTTCTGGCCACCAAATCTGCCATATTCTACACATTTTCTTTTAATTGCCAAACACATGTGTATTTTAGCAGGAAATTTGATCCACATGTTTCTGATTCACCTACACTTAAGTCACCAGACAATTTTGGAAGAGCAGCCTGATGGCCAAAAAGGCTTGGTAGAGTCTCCTTTCCCTTTAGAAACAGAAAGTTGAGTATGTGAAGTACAAGCTCCCCGAATCTTGCCAGGACTAGGCTGTTGGTAAAACCCAGGCTTCAGGAGGCTTCAAAGAATACTACTTTCTCAAGATATACTCCTGGCTAGGTGTGCCAATTGACTTTCTAAATTATGTCCCGGAGCACTTTGAAAGTTGATGGCCTGGATACTTCCCTGACCCCTCCTTAGGACTTTCCTCCTACCCTCCAAGTTTGCTTCTCATTGAGTGGCCAATGTTTCCCCAGGTTTCTCTGTTCTAATCCCCAAGGCTGTTGCCACAGCACATGATACCAGTGAAGGGCTGGGATATGCCTTCTGCACTGCCCATGTGGCTTTCCCATGGTCAGAGAGGGAACACTGGTCGATGAAAACCCACAGCAGAACCCAATGCTCTGTCTGCCCACAGATCTGCCTTGATGGTGAGCAGGGCCGTCCCACGCATCTGGTCTGTCTCCCTAATAAATGAATCATGCACAACCGTCATGGTGTGCAGCAAACTGAGATATTTGGCAGGAACTCTGTGCCTTGACACTTCCTGAACTACCGACACTTGAGCAGTGACTCAGAAAAGAAGCGGGTAGTTCTACTGGCTGATTCTATGAAAGACTTGAGGGCCGGGCGCAGTGGCTCACGCCTGTAATCCCAGCACTTTGGGAGGCCGAGGCGGGCAGATCACAAGGTCAGGAGTTCGAGACCATCCTGCCAAACGTGGTGAAACCCCGTCTCTATTAAAAATACAAAAAAAATTAGCCAGGTGTGGTGGTGGGAGCCTGTAGTCCCAGCTACTCAGGAGGCTGAGGCAGGAGAATGGCGTGAACCCAGGAGGCGGAGCTTGCAGTGAGCCGAGATCGTGCCACTGCACTCCAGTCTGGGCGACAGAGCGAGACTCCGTCTAAAAAAAGAAAAGAAAGACTTGAGAACCATGTTCACAACTTCACATCAATCTGTAAATCCCACCAAAGTGAGAGGTAATTCCACCTTTCCCTCTGTACACAGTCTAAGATGATTTACCTTTTATGACGTCTTTAAAACATTCCATCATGCTCATTCATTCAGCAGTTATTATTGCCTTTGTTAGGCCGCGTGCAAGATATCAAGATAAAAAGAAAAATGAGACACAGCCTATGGCTTCAAGGAGCTTATAACCCAGTTGAATGAGGCACATATATAATAAGTAAACAAGTATTAGGTGTGCCAAATTAAGTTCAGCCCAAAGCTGCCTCCTTACATAGTGAAAGCTCGGCCTAAAGTTTTCTCTGTACATAGCAAACTGTAACCTAGCTGGATGTGTAAACAGGCTGTAACCTACTCTTGTGCCAATCACTGAGATTCGGCCAAAGGTGGCCAACTGTTCAAACCATGTTCAGATAAGGCAAACACTGAAATGTAACCAATACGGCTGTTTCTGTCCCTCACTTTTCGTGTACCTCACTTTCCTTTTGCTGTCCATTGGTTGTCTTCAACCACACGGCAGTGCAGAGTCTCTCTGAACCTGTTTTGCAAATTGCTCTTTACTCAAAGTCTGTTCAGTTTAATCTGTCTAAGGTTTCTCTTTTAACAGGTGGTAGTGTGGTACAGGGGAGAGTGTCTACTGTGGAGTCCCAGAGGCCTAAATTCAAGTTCCAACTCTGCCACTTACTAGTTGAGGAGTTTTGGTTAAGTCATGGAATCCGTCTGCCTCAATGGCTTCATCTATAAAATGTAGGGAGGGATGTTTAAATGAACAATGTATACAGAGCTTGTTATGTATATAGAGTAACTCTTATCATTATGCCCCGTTTCAGGGACTGTATGAAAGTATGCGTGGGGTCCCACAGGAACACAAAAAGGGATCATAAGAGAGAAGTAATTAACCATGTCCTCCCCTACCCACTCGCAGCTAGAAGAATGAGTTCCTCTAGCTGACAATCTATTTTATTTATTTATTTATTTTTGAGACGGAGTTTCGCTCTTATTGCCCAGGCTGGAGTGCAATGGCGCCATCACGGCTCACTGCAACTTCCACCTTCCGGGTTCAAGTGATTCTCCTGACTCAGCCTCCCAAGTAGCTGGGATTACAGGCATGCGCCACCAGGCCTGGATAATTTTTTTTTTTTTTTTGTACTTTTAGTAGAGATGGAGTTTCACCATGTTGGTCAGGCTGGTCTTGAACTCCTGAGCACAGGTGATCTGCCCACCTTGGCTGGATCACAAAAGTGCTGGGATTACAGGCGTGAGCCACTGTGCCTGGCCGACAATTTATTTTTAATAAATGTTCCCATTTTCCTGGCTCTCCTGTCCCCCTGGCCAAGGCAGTGGCACTTTAGTGATCACCATGTGATCCTGTGACAGATAGGGGATCTGGAGGGTTTCGTTCTCCAGGCCCTAACCCTGTGGCTGGTATCTGTGAGATTTATATGTGAAGCCTGGTATCTCTCAAAGGTTTCAAAGGAAAGAGGAGGAGAAAAGATGTTTCTGCTATTCCTTTGTGCCTAGCTGAGTAAATAGGAAAGGTCCTCGTCGCAGCCTTGCCAAAGAAATAGAATTCTGTTCCAGGAGTCTTGGGAAGTGTGGAGTCAGGGTCATGCTGCTCCTCATTGTGTGGCAGTGACTGTGGAACTGTGGATCGAGTGGATGACTCAGTTTTCCAAGCTCATATCACCTCCAGGTAGCTGCCCAACCCAGACAGACCCCCAACTCACTGGCAGAAACACTTCCAACTCTGAATTGCTCCCTTCAGGACCTCCAGGTGTGTTCCGGAACACTGCATCTTTGGGTGTAAACACATTTGGAAGAGCCATCCCTAGAAGACTCAGCCTGGTGACCTGGCACGTGACTCACTTTGAAGGCAGTGGGAGGGGAGGATGGCTTTGCACAAACGCTGTAGGAAACACTCAACAATCTATTTTCTCTCTCCCAGTAGCAAGAACGGAGGAAATTCTCTTCTAGAATGACCCCATTGTAAACCCCTCCTCATGCTGTGTGACTGCTCTGAGGCTCCAGCTGGCTGTGTCCACAGTGGGAGTTCAATCAGGATGAATGGCTGTGGTGCTAGCACCATCCTCTTCTTTTGTTCTCCACATGTCTCTGGGGTGACTATAACCACCTTTCTGGTTTCAAAGATCCTCAGCTGGAGCATTGTGGGAAGACTGAGATAGGAGTAATGACCCTCTCCAGCCCACAGGCAAATCCCTCTGTCTGTGCTGCAGATGCCCAGCTGACTCCATTCAGAAAGAAAGGGCCTTTCTGAGTCTGTCTAATGGAGGTTCTCCTTGTCTCCTGCCTCTAAGTTTCCTATTTTTTTTTCCAGGAAAATCCCTTCTCCTTCCAGCCACTCTGACTTCACTATCTAGTTCATCACCACTAGCCCCAGCCAGATTTTCTCTCCCGTGGATCCCTCTGCTACTTCCCTAGCACCTTGGGACAACTCTTCATTCACCTTCCTTTTTGGCTTCCTCACATTGTCCACAGCCTTATGTAGCCTTATTCTACCTTGTCCAACATTGCTATTTCCAGGCCAGTTTTTTGTTGTTTTTTTTTTTTTGAGACGGAGTCTCACTCTTGTCACTTAGGCTGCAGTGCAGTGGTGCCATCTCAGCTCACTGCAACCTCTGCCTCCTGGGTTCAAGCAATTCTCCTTCCTCAGCCTTCGAAGTAGCTGGGATTACAGGCATGCGCCACCACACCCAGCTAATTTTGTATTTTTAGCAGAGACAGGGTTTCTCCATGTTGGTCAGGCTGGTCTCGAACTCTCGACCTCAGGTGATCCGCCTGCCTTGGCCTCCCAAAGTGCTGGGATTACAGGCATGAGGCACCACACCTGGACTCCAGGCCAGTTCTTACCATGATCTACTCTTACTTTTTAACCATTAACTGTGGTTCTATTGTTGAATTTTTCAAATACATACAAACATAGAAATAAGAAGTGCAAGCCAGATGCGAGGGCTCATGCCTGTAATCCCAGCACTTTGGGAGGCCGGGGTGGGCGGATCACTTGAGGTCAGGAGTTTTGAGAGCAGCCTGGCCAACATGATGACACCAAGTCGCTACTAAAAATACGAAAATTAGAGGGTGTGGTGGTGGATACCTGTAATCCCAGCTATTCCGGAGGCTGAGGCAGGAGAATCGCTTGAACCCAGGAGGTGGAGGTTGCGGTGAGCTGAGATCACACCAGTGCACTCCAGCCTGGGTGATACATCAAGACTCTGTCTCAAAAACAAAAAAAAAAGCAACAAAAAAAAAGATATAAGAAGTACAATGAACTCCCAAGTACCCTTGACCCAGCTTCAACAGTTATCAGTGTATGGCCAGTCTTGATTATCTATATCCCCATTCCCTCCTGGCCCTCCACCTCATCACTACCACTGGATTATTTTAAAGAAATCCAAGACATCATATCATCTGTAAATAATTCAATATTTATCCCTAAGATATAAGGGCTCTTTTAAAAAAATAGCCATAATATAATACTGTGTAACACTTGAATCATACCAAAATATTCAGTTACTACTCAAACTTCCCTGACTGTCTGATCAATGCTTTTCTTTGAGTCAGGATGCAAATAAGACCCACACACATTATATTTGGCTCGTATGTCTCTTAAGCCTTTTAAAATCTATGATAGTACCCCACCATTTTTCCCTCCTATCATTTATTTGTTGGAAAAATCTAGGCTACTTATCCTGTAGAGACTCTTCATGCTGGATTTTGCTGATGATTCCCAATGGTGTGTTGAACGTATCTCAGTGTGTTGAATGCATCTCAGTTCTACCATCTGTAAAATGGGGATAATACCAGACCCATTAAGTTCACAGCATTATTGTTTGGATCATATACTATCATATATGTAGATCAGGTTGTTCTATTAAACAAAGAAATTGTTCTTTATAATGCTTTAAAAAGAAAACTCCATATGCCAATGCTTGCATTCATGTTTATTAAGACGCAGCCAAGTGAAATGTGTCAGCTCCTCCTCTTGAGTACAGCCTTCTTTACTGGTGTATAACAATGCCCAAGGGCTGGATGAACTACATAATCAAAATCAAATGACAGCTTTCTACAGACTTGGCCAAAATAGTACAACCTCAGACACCATTTTAAACTGCAAGAAATCTGAGCCTTTCATAGTCTTGCTTTTTATTGTTGACATTCACATTTTAATTTTTATGATCATTGCAGATTCACATTTTAAAAACCCAAGAAACAAAAAAGCTCTTATTCTAATTTAGCAAAAAGCAGAATCATCGGTGTGAAGACAATACACTATCTACATACAGCTGCTTTGTATCCATAATTATCTATGTAAGAAACATGCTGTCATTCACAGGGACTCCATTTACACGTGCACATAAGCCATGCTGAGGCCTAACAGGTAATGTGGGTTTTCGTCTAGCATCTTCTCTTTACTCTGGATCCTTATCCTCATCTGAAAAATGGGGGACAGACTTCTTTGCAACAACATTATCCAGTCTCTGTCCTTGTAGATATGGATTGACACTCTGAAAAACAAACAAACAAAAACCATGTGGTTTGGTGTTATATGTGAACATCAGATACAGACATCTCAGAAAAGAAATGAACAAGAATCGTTTCTGGGGCCGGGCGCGGTGGCTCACGTCTGTAATCCCAGCACTTTGGGAGGCCGAGGTGGGCAGATCACGAGGTCAGGAGATCGAGACCATCCTGGCTAACACGGTGAAACCCCGTCTGTACTAAAAATACAAAAAATTAGCCGGGCGTGGTGGTGGGTGCCTGTAGTCCCAGCTACTTGGGAGGCTGAGGCAGGAGAATGGCGTGAACCCGGGAGGCGGAGCTTGCAGTGAGCAGACGTCATGCCACTGCACTCCAGCCTGGGCGACAGAGCAAGATTTTGTCTCAAAAAAAAAAGAAAAAAGAAAAGAAAAGAATTGTTTCTGGCCTATTAGGTTAACAACAATGTAACCAGTGGCACCTACCAACTACCAAACAATTACTCCAGTGTACTAATTAATACCTCAGTGGCCTATGAAACATTTTCTGACTGATAGATGTCTCTAATTGTGTTTTTCACACAACTATAGAGCTCTTTATCAGATGCAATGTGGTCTTTTTAAAAATTATTATTTTTGGTGCAAAGATGTGCAGTAAACCAGCTCATAAGTCCTTGCTACTAATTTAGATACCAAGACCCATAAGAAAGATAATTATTATTCTATGGCCCTATTTAGGTAGGAAGGGGAATCTGAAATGCATTAAATTATATTTTGCAAGAAAAACGTTCTAAAGGAGAAGAGTAGGGCCAAGTGGGAATTAACATCTGAAGACTGGTCCCAGATCATCCTGTTGCTGGGATTGATTCTTCCTCGCCAGTATTTTACTAAGGAGAATTCATTAGGGGCTCGAGTGATCATTTCCACCTTCCTTCAGTCAAATTCAAAAACTGAAGCAAAAAAGGAAGCTTCCGGGAAGGGTCCTTTGTTTTTGACTCAAGACTCCATACTCTGAAATCACTTTCATGTGTTGGTATTCTTAATGAGTAAATATTTTTCCATTCCTTCTCTAATACATATCTATTTATTGAGGTGTGGATTCGAACTAGTAATTGAAACTTTACAAAATAGTATTTAGCAAGCAGAAGAAAAATTCAAAAGTTTTGGAAGATGTTTGTTCATTGAAGTTGCCTTCCAATAATGGAACAAAAATATAAGAAAGAAGCTGTAGCCAGGCGCGGTGGCTCACGCCTGTAATCCCAGCACTTTGGGAGGCCTAGGTGGGCGGATCACAAGGTCAGGAGATCGAGACCATCCTGGCTAACACGGTGAAACCCCGTCTCTACTAAAAATACAAAAAATTAGCCAGTCGTGGTGGTGGGCCCCTGTAGTCCCAGCTACTTGGGAGGTTGAGGCAGGAGAATGGCAGGAACCTGGGAGGCGGAGCTTGCAGTGAGCCGAGATTGCGCCACTGCAGTCCAGCCTGGGCGACAGAGCGAGACTCCATCTCAAAAAAGAAAAAAAAAAAAAAGAAAGAAAGAAGCTGTAGTTACAAACGATCAGCAATCCCTGTTGCATGCTCAATCCCCATGTATGAATGGAGTCTGTTCACAGGTGGAGCTCTCTTGCCCATGAAATAACCTGCCATGACTCTTGAAAGGTGAGCAGACATTCTTCAAAAGAGAAGGAATGAAACCTGAGTTTAGCATTTACAAATGTTCTTTCACATTCTGACTGCTAAACGCATGAATCGTGAAAGGTCCGACTCACTCTACAAAGATGCATCACAAAGTAGGTGAGAATTACAAAGTGAGCAATGTCCTCAGACATTTGAAAAGTGACATGCCACAAGACAACACCTTGCTGAGAATTCATCTTAGAAATATTTAAAATAATAAAAATTCCTTTTATCAATTACAGTGGTTTGGCCTACCCCAGGGGATCATATCAGAATTTTGTTTAGTAATATTTATTCCAAAAATTCTAATATGTTAAAGGAGGATATGAGAGGTTCAAGTTTATCAAATATGAGATTAAAAGGTTCATAAACTGTTTAAATAAGATCAATAGTAGAGCTCAAATATTAACAAGATACAGCTTAAGAGTTTAAAAGTTCACAGTCATTTAAAGGTAGATTGACATTTCATTTGTGAAGCAATGAGGAATTCAATTGGATTTGGGTGAGTACAAAAAGTTGTTCAAAGCCATATGGGGCTTGGTTGCAACTTTGAGGAGAATCTATCTCTCATGGGAGAAGTCCTGCCCAGACCTACAACATGCAAAGGTTGGAGGGGAGGGGAAAAATTAATGAGGAGGTAAAAAGAGGAATCAGGTGAACTTTTTTGATAAATATTTAACTGAGTATTGAATCCGGCACTTAGGAATAATAATAATGAGCTTTGGGTTTGTTTTTGTTTTGTTTTGCTTTGTTTTGAGATGGAGTCTCACTCCATTACCCAGGCTGGAGTGCAGTGGTATGATCTCGGCTCACTGCAAACTCCACCTCCCAGGTTCAAACGATTCTCCTGCCTCAGCCTCCCGAGTACCTGAGATAACAGGAGCATACCACCACGCCCGGCTAATTTTTGTACTTTTAGTAGAGATGGGGTTTCACCATGTTGGCCAGGCTGGTCTTGAACTACTGACCTCAGGTGATCCACCCTCCTCGGCCTCCCAAAGTGCTGGGATTACAGGCGTGAGCCACCATGCCTAGCTGAGCCTTGGCTTTAATTGTGCTCTGAAAAACTCAAGGCACTTCTATATTTGTCTTCTCTCACTTGGGCAAGAGACTGGGTAGGGCACACAGAGAACATGATTCCCATTTCACAACTGGAAGAACCACTGGGATTGGATCTTTGCTTACAATGTCCTCTGGAAACTCACAGCAGATGCTGAGCTTCACTGAAGGAAGACTTCATTGTTCAAAAAAGAAAGCGTATAGTTTCTTTATATTGATTCATGTACTGGGGGTGGTGGTGGGGCAGTGTTAATGTCTTTAATCAAGATGGGAACATCATCTGAGACCTCATGATGGGCAGGGCCAACGTGCTTCCTTATCAATCCAGAGAGGCCCATGGTTTATGGCATGAGAATGGGTCTTTGTAGATGCCCAAGAACAGGAAGAACTTGATATCTCTGGGTCAAAGTGACCCTTCTTTTCCTAAATTCTAAGCCTTTCCTATGTGGAGGAAATTGAGGCTAAAGTAAAATCCTTTATAGCATGTGTCTTAGCCAGCATTCTGAGTTTTGGTAATCACTAGTCTCACGGAAAAATGACCTAAATCGTGACCATGGTCATTCACTGAGTCAGGGCAGAAGGAATGGTGGGCCAGGAAGTAGAGACAATTAAAGTTTCAAGCTAAGTTATTGATTTTGGGTCAGTCATTGCTCTTATTTGGAAATGTTCTTGTTGTGTTGTAGGGAGATATTCAAGCCGTGTTACTGGTAAATTATGTGTATTTTGAGTTCCTAGAATAGAATTTCTTGATGTTCCCTCAAGACCACATTATACCCTTTGGACCCTTTCTGTCACCATCTGCTATTGGAAGCTGTAATCACCAAGAAAAACCCCTAATAACTCTGTTAACTCTCCTCAAAAAAGATTTGTTTCCAGAGGTAAAAATTTTCTACTTCTCGCGTAGAAAATTGCTGTATGTCTTCTGTGTTTTGTCAGGCAGTACAGGGGCTTGGAACCTTCTGTTGTGGGGGCCTGAGGACTGATGCTGAGGCCAGAAAATCCACACCTCTTGAAGCTCTCTCTGACCGGATTTGGCAAAACCCTTCAGAATGGCCACAATTACCACTGCCCAGATTCCCAAATTTTGTGAGGATCCAGGCACTTGCTCTTCTGAATAAATAGTCAGTGGCTTTGAGTACGTGCTTAGGTTTGTATGTTTTAACTAAAATGGTCACTATCTCATAGCATTTTACCATGTAACAGTGGGGTTGTTTTTTCTCCCACTTTCATCTGATCAGATAAAGAAGGAGGTAGGTGGCCAGGCCCTTCTGACTAGTAAGGTACCAGTGGATTAGCAGAATGGACCTTGATCACTTATCAAGTCTTGATGCTATAAAATACCCTGGAAAGCCAAAGCAAATGTGACATTGAGTTTTACGTGAGGCAACACTGTATATGAAGTAGCTAAATGTGGAGTATCTAGACCAAGTTCCTACCTTGGGCAGCCCTGGGATGGTTAAAAACTAAGCCTGCAGTAAATTCAACAGACAGCAAACAAATATTACAGATCTAGTAGATTTTACATCAGTCTGGCTAGGCCAAGAAAAAAAGATACATAGGAGAAATTAAGTTTGTTCATCTCATCTTTTGCTCCCGAATTCCTTCAAAGTTATTTCCTGGAGCATGCAGTTCAGCACTTCCCTGTTTCTGTCCTGTGTTTTTATAGAATTGATGCAGATGTGTGATCAGTTTTTCCCCACTGGCCTACAGACCCTGGGAGGGCAGACAGACCCTCATGTCCCCCCAGATATGTCCCACACTGATGGGGGAAGCAATACACATTTCCTGAACGGAATGGAGTTGCTAGAATCGCTACAGACTGCGCGTTCCACTAAAAATCATCTGCTAAAGCCTGGGGAAGCCATCGCAGAAACCAAGGACAGACTTTCTGGGTGTGGCCCTTGTCACATGGACCAGTGTTTCTCAGGACTACACAAGGGAGGATTCTGTGACTTCCCAACAAGCGAGGGTTTCAGCCTGTTCACTGCCCCACTCAGAAAGCTCCAAGCATCCCCGCAACAATCCAGCCAGGCACGTGTTACCCTCCGCTTTCGTCTCTCTCCTCCCTTCATCTTCTCGTAAAGGAGTTTCTTGTTCTAGAATGGGGAGAAAAGAAAACAAAAAATGCAGAAGTATGGATCAAATTTGGTGAATGTCTATTTTAAAAGCAATACTTGGTGTGTCCCCTAGATATTTGCATACGCATATTTTGGAAACAAAACTAGATGAAAGGAATGTCGTGTCAGAAAGATAGACCACAAGAGTAAAGCTGGTGGTGGTTCGGCTTTTAATAAAGTCCTCTGCAATGCCCTGAGGCACACCAGTGTCATCAACAATCACATAAACAGGGAAATACGACATTTTAAAACATGAAGGGTGCTGGAAACCCATCTCCTCACTTTGAACAGCCTTTGTTTAAAACAAATGATTTTATCTCATTTATTTTTGTATCTAACTCCCTTTTTATAAACTGCTCTCTAGAGTAGCGTCTGACTATTAACAACAATCCCCTGTGTAAATAAACGAGACATTCTGACTTCTGCAACCATTTTGTCTGTGGCGTTAAGTCAGTGCCCCCAGTCAAGACAATTGGAAAACCATTTGGTCTATAACATTTTTAATAGAGTGAACCTTTTAAAAACTGCCAAAAAACTTCTTGGCAGAAAGGAAAGTTATGTTGGGTCGGGGGGCAGGGCTCTGTTACCACAGTTTGTGTAAGTGTTTCCACACATTGCTGTATTTCAAACACATAGTGGGCTTCAATGAGCTCTAGAATATCAGACACATGCTCAACAGATTTCCCTTCTATTGAGATTATAAAAGACAGAACACTTAACCTGAAGGCAGAAAGGGAGAAGGGGATTTGGTGGCGGTGGGGGGGGGGCTTTACTTGTGTTGTTTTATTTATTTGATTTTTTTTATCTGGAGGAAAATGATGTATAAAAGAGGTGATTCGTTTTGTTCTAAATAAAATACTCTGACATTAAGAAAAAAAAAAAACAAAGACAACCACAGAGTTCTGGTAAGGAACAAGTTTATACAACATGTATCCTCTGAGCTGTCCACTTATAAAGACTTATTTTTAGTGATAGATTTGGAATTGAAAATGACAAATGCCAAGAATGAGCTTCATCATTTTTCACGTTCATTAAAATCTACCCCACCTGCAATTTACAATGCATATCTCTTGCCCAACCTCAACTATGCAAGGAGGCGGTGCCAGAGTGAAGGAGCCTCTACTACCAAAAACACCAGTACTGGCTACAGCCTCTATCTCCTGCTCACTTGGGGAATAAATCAATTTAATATCGGAAGGGAGAAAAGGCAGACTTGCAGATCATTTCCTTGAGGAATGAGGATATTGCTGTGAGGCTCATTCTCTACAGTCTGTGGTTGCCTTTCTGTGAACGTAAAAACTCCTGAGGCAGAGAATATCCGAAGAGCTGGTGTTAGAGCTGGGAAGGCCGGGAAGGGGTGAGGACATGTCTTCTTCATGTGTACCATTGTTTTCAGCTGCCTGAGCTGGATGGAGTGTGGAAGAACCTGAGAGCTACTACCATGGGGTGGGACTGTCAGCCAGCTCTGGCAGAGTTCCACTGTGCCATCAGCCAGGTAAAGCCAGCATCATTTAATTCTTTAGGAGATCTTGGGGGCAGATCCTACCCATAAGAGTCTTCATTCAAAAAGAAATGTGCCCCAGCACTTTGGGAGGCCGAGGTGGGAGGATCACGAGGTCAGGAGATCGAGACCATCCCGGCTAACACGGTGAAACCCCGTCTCTACTAAAACTACAAAAAATTAGCCGGGCGTGGTGGCGGGCGCCTGTAGTCCCAGCTACTCAGGAGGCTGAGGCAGGAGAATGGCATGAACCCAGGAGGCAGAGCTTGCAGTGAGCTGAGATTGCGCCACTGCACTCCAGCCTGGGGGACAGAGCGAGACTCCGTCTCAAAAAAAAAAAAAAAAAAGAAATGCAAAAGGCCTGGCTAATCTTCCTCTCAAAGATGGTCCCTGTGTCTCCTTAAGAGCTAGGGTTAGGATTAGCAGGATAATGCTTCCCTACCCCTGCATGAAAGTGTCTGGGACATTCTTAATTAGCCCTATTATTGTATGGACTTGAAGGCATTGGCAGGTATGGTATGGGTAAGAGAAGCATACAAATTGAATGAAAAGAAATCAGCTATCTCTCCTCACGCCCATTCCTTGTTGATTCCTTGGGGAGTGGTGAGCCTGTTTTCCATGTGAGTAGCAGGTTCAAGTTCATTAAAAGGGCTTTCCATAGTGCCATCAAGATTTTGGACAACTGTCCAGATCCTGGTTTCAAATTACACTCCTAAATACAGCCAGGGAGCTTCCTGGAGAAAAGTCTAATTCCAGGGCTAGGAAGGAAAGTGCAAGGATGGGTGAAGATGGAATAGCTAATTAGGTCAGAAAATAAAGAAGTGCTCAAAAAAATGATGAGGTCCTGTCAAAAGGAAAGAAAAGAAAGCTTGAGGAGACTCGCACTGGCCAAATTTAGGACAGTTTGAACACCAGAATACATAATAATATGCATTATGGAATCCATGAATCCATACTTATACTATATAAATAAACACATTTATAAATAAATAAATAAATAGAACAGCAGGGGAAACTCTTGCTTAGAATAGAATGTCAACTAGTAAATGCAGAAAGAATAGCGGAGTAAGAAAATCATCATTTTGCAGCTATCATCATTATTGAATCTGGTAAGCATCATCAATGGATGTTATATTTGTTGGTTAAAAGTTGAACGAGGAGCAGAATATTTACACAGCCCCAAAACTTCTTCCCACAGAGTAACTATTAATTTCTTTTTTTTTTTCTTTTTTTTTTTGAGACGGAGTCTTGCTCTTTTGCCCAGGCCGGACTGCAGTGGCACTATCTCGGCTCGCTGCAAGCTCCGCCTCCCGGGTTCACGCCATTCTCCTGCCTCAGCCTCCCAAGTAGCTGGGACTACAGGCACCCGCCACCGCGCCCGGCTAATTTTTTTGTATTTTTAGTAGAGACGGGGTTTCACTGTGTTAGCCAGGATGGTCTCGATCTCCTGACCTCATGATCCGCCTGCCTCGGCCTCCCAAAGTGCTGGGATTACAGGTGTGAGCCACTGTGCCCGGCCTATTAATTTCTAAGGGAATTTTACACCAGAGAAACCTGGAGGGCAGCACCTTAACAAAGTGAACACTGCCAGTCATGAGACAAACTTCCCTGACATCATGTGCTTGCTGATGTAAAATACTAAGTAGGACATAAAATACTAAGCAGGTCTAATCACATGGAAACCTGAGTCAAATCCACATTGAAGAGCATTCAACTCATCAAACATGTTAAGGTCAGGAATGACAAAGCAAGTCAGGGAGGGGTCTGGTCCCTCATATCCCCGTGGCTCAGGCTCTGGCTGTGATCAGCTACTGATGAAAAGGTGTGAAAGCATTTGGAAAGGAAAAATATTTGCTTTTTGAGACAACTTTTTCTTAAGTAAATAACACTCAGCAGTTAATGTGTAAAGGGGGAGTGGGTAGCTGGCATGTACAGGAGCCAGCCATTGGTGTGGTCACCACTGGTGTAGTCACACACATTGTCTGGAAGGCAGCCAGCCCTCGGTAGGACTCAATAGGACTACCACACAGGACAGGTTAGGAGCAATGAGCCATGAAAAGATAGGGAATGTATTCAGCTTGTAAAGTACTCTGGAGTCAGATGATGGGGTTCAAATCCCAGCTCTGTGGGCTGAGCAGGCTCCTCAGCTCCCCAAGCCTGCATTTTCTCATCTGGAAAGTGAGAATGACAAGGATGGGCAGATTGAATAAGATTACTGAGTATTTAGAAAGGAGTCTGGCATATAGTATGTGGTCAATAAATATTACTATTTACTATTGTATTATATAGTATTATGTATTATGTAATACAATTACTATTATCATTCATCTTTGTATTCCCATTACCTAACACGGGGCCCGGAAGGCATATGATGTGTCGTTAATAAATGTGTCTTGATGCACTAACGAAGAGAGAAATGCAGGAAACAAGACAGACACTGAAATGTGTAATATGTGAATCACTGTTAAAGATGCAGCTCAGCTCCAGCTACTGTCAAAAACAAGGAAGCGTTATTAGCAGATAAGGAAGCAGGGTCTTTGTGCTGTTCTATCATGAAAGATGATGACTCTGTTAACTTAAAGGATGGCTGGGCTGAAGACAAGCTTGAGACTGTCATTCCATATAAGCACTGAGGAAGGTTTGTGGTTCCCAGTTTAGAAAAGCAAGACATACTCAATTCCCACTTCCATGTGAAAACCAAGGAAACAATGTTTTACTGGTAGGTAGTAATGAGAAAATAAACAAGGAGACCTAAGTTTAAGTAAACACATAATTGCAGATGATAAAAGGTATCTAAACATTGTTCCTGGTCATTGATCTCTAATATTTTCCTTTTACATTTGATCCTAGATTCTAGTCTTTAGCTCTAATGTGGACAAAGAATAGGAAACACTGAGAGAAACTCAAGTCAGTGTTTCGAGAAGGAAGCACAGAGAATGAAGGACCGTGGTTGGCCTCATACTGGGGCACTGGAAGTGAGTGGAATTTGATGAGAGAAATCTGTGAAGATTTTCAAGAAGAGATGAAGAGAGCTGAAAAGAGATGTTTTCATCCCTCCCACCTCATCATGCCACCAACTGGGCTCCTTGCCTTCACTCACACCTTGACTCAGTCTCCCTCCTTTCTTTCTCTCATTCCTAGCCTACTGGTGAAGCTGAAGACTTTCCCACCTGAAACTTCAGTGCTGCCCTCCTTAGTGCCTTTGACTTCCTCTGTGGCTACTACCCCAATCAGCCACACCAGTCCTCAGTTCTGGATCTTCCTCTACCCTTGTCTTCCATCTTCCCTAATAATTGCCCCTGGCCCTCAGAATACAGACGAAACATGAAGTGGAGCGGTGCTAAGTTGGGTTCATTTCATTTTCATGCAATTCATCTCAACCGTGGGACTATAAGCTCTCTGAAGACCAGCACCATGTCCTGATGACTCCTGCATACTGAGCATCTAGCACAGTGCCTGGAACACAGCAGGCTCAATGTGTTCTCTTTGTGCCTTATCGAACCTGGCTTTTGCTTCTGTTTGGCAATGCTTCGATCACCTCTTGTGGATCTCTTCCCAGTACTCCTCCGCAATCTACTCTTTCCCTCACTCTCTCTTCTCTTTTTTATGTCCTTCCTCCCTCTATTCTTCTCTTTTCTTTCTTTCTAAAATGCATTCAAAGAAAAAGTTCATATTGTCCATTTCATATGAACCTGACATATCTCTTCTTTCTTCTTCATGTTATATTTATTCCGTATACCAATTCTAGTTAGTTTTTCCCCCTTTAAAATGTCTTGGATTCTCACCCTTCTTCACGGTGTTCACAGTCATCATAACTGAAATGACTCCCCATATTTTCTTCCTGTCTAGGGTTAGTCTCTTCTCCTTTTACTTCATCCTTTAATATGCCATCAAAATAACTTCTTTTATAGAAGGCTTTTATTATTTCAGTCTCCTATTCGAGAACCTATAGATGTTTTTCTATTTAATTCAACATGTTTAAGCTCTACTACTAGGCTTGAAAGTGGCTCCACAAACCAATTCTTCCAAACAGAACTGTTTATGAAAAAGAAGGAAATGGAATAATGCAAATTGGAAGAAGCAAAATTAACTTAGGAATGTTGTTGCTTTGTTGTTTTAAGACAGGAAATGTGTGTACGTTGAAGACAGAGGGAACTGACAATGCATGTTAAAGCAAGACGCTGAAAAAAATAAAAGTGGTCATTAATGAAGATTTCTCTAAAACAATGTAGGAGGAAAGGAGGGAGTTTAGTTTTGAAATTTCAGTGTTCCCAGTAAAGCAGTAAGCAAGGCCATCTGCCAATAATGAGCTAAGAAGAGATGAGGACTTTAGAAGGGCTGAGGGAGTTGGAATATTTGCTCATTCACTCACTCATTCATTCCACAGACGTACTGGCCACCTACTGTTACATGTGAAGGAACACTCCTAGGTATTTCCCCACTTTTCTCCCATGGCTTCAGCATCTGGCCCAACCACAGAAACACAGACATATCCCCACTCAGTTCTGATCTTGTTTGGCTCATTGTTCTAGTCTGCTGGGATCTTCTTGAATCCCAACTCTGTCATCTGATGGTATCTCTTCCAACTTCATGTCATCCTCTGGGAATCTGATAAGTACAAGTTCTATATTATTACAAACATTGATAAAAATGTGGAGTGGGGTAGTGCTAAGACACACAGAATACCATGTGAAATCTCCCTCCCTATTTACATGGACTCTTTAACAAGCCCCATTTTGGTGACATTCTGTTGCCTAGGCTGTATCTTTCCACCTCTTCCAATAGGGGAACATAAAACGATCTTGTCAAATGCTTTGCAAAAGTCCAAATGCACCATGCCCACTGCATTTCCCTCATCAAGCTGGCAAATAAATGAATAATGCTGGCAAATGGAAGAATATAATTAGATTGGCAAGACTTGTTTTTAGCACACTGATGCCAAATGGTCATGATTTATCTTTCCAAGTGCTTATAAACAACTCCCTTAACTGACAGCTATATGCACTTACCTAGGACTGACAGCAATCTCACTGCTACACATCACGGAATATTTTTTCTCTTTCTATAAAGCAGAATTATATATATCTGTTTCTAAGCTCTGGCATCTTTATTCCCTTGATTCTGCAGAGATCATCTCCCTTAGTTTAGAGATCACATTTGCAAATTTTCTGTGTCAATTAAAAAAAATCATATCCTTTGATAAAACCCTATAGAGATGCATGAAACACTGGTGAAATTTAGGATGTGTATGACACAGGCTGTGAAGCAGACCAGAGTAGAAGACTCTGGAGACTACGGTCAATGTTAGGTTGCTGTCTCTTTAGTTGGATTTGGTATAGTGCTGCCTGGACACATAAGTGTGGTTTTGAGTAGTCATGACTTGAAGCTCTGTCAACCAGAGATTTCTGAAAAATTAGCTTCTAAATAATTTTTCTTCTCTCCTTCTGCCCATATTGCTCATCCCTGCCATCAGCACCTTCAGAGTACCAAAGTGCAAAATCTACTAACAATTGAGATAGGACTTACCCACTTGCCCAAGCCTGGATAGTCATGTTCCGGATCAAAGAGATGCTGGTGCAACTGGAACTCTCGACTGAACTCTGCAGTGTCAGGGGTGTTTTCTAGACATCCATCATCTGCTGCAAACAGCCAAAGGTTTTTGAGGAACGGCCAAGACATTCATCATTATTCTAAGAGTTAATTTATCAAAAACAACTAGGCAGCCAAAGGTCAGAATCTGTTCACATCAGTAGTAACTTAGAACACTAGCAGCCACCTTCCCTCTAGGATCCAGTTAGATAGGATTACTCATCTCAAACTCCCACTCCTGTGCAGAGACTCACTGGCTGTTCACCAAACCCACTTCCCTTTCCTCCTTAGCACCCAGCTAGACTAATTTCCCAGCCTTGCTTTGCAATCACGTGGAGTCATTTGCCTGAGTGGAGGCCAACAGAATGTGGGCACAAGTAATGTATTCCATTCCCAGGCCTGGAATTGAAATACATCACCTAAAAGCATAAAAACCTCTCATACCATGCTCCACTTCTCCTCATTCCCCACCCCCATCTCCTGGTCAGCTTGTTACATGTTGCCAGGGCAACTGTGGGGGTCAAGTGTAAAGATGGCAGTCTGGGGTGCCGAACCATCCACCGCACTACAGCCTCACGCGCCTCTGGCAGGACTTCACACGGGTGAAAAATAAACTTCTATTGCGTTGAGCCATACAATGTTTTTATTTGTTACAAGAGCAAGTGTTTCCTTAGGTAACATACTTCTGTTGCACATGACCCACTCTGTTTTCTCCTGAGCAAGCAGTTTAGAAACTACTTTGGCTTCTTGGAGAAAGTACATTACACAACAACAACAATCTCCACACAGCACTTGATGTTGTGTTTTATTGTGATAACAGCTTAAGCTTTGGAGTCAGACAAGAGCAGAGCTCAAGGATCAAATCCCAGCTCCTAAGATATAGATAGGCTTAGTTCCTTTGGAAAGTTAACTTGGTCTCTCCAAGTTTGTTCATGTATGTGTGAGATGCAAATAATCAAATACTTACCTACGGGATTGCTGTGAGGAATAGAGATGATTACATTTAGAACACCCGGCACATAATAGGTTTGCAATATGTTTTAGTTCCCTTCCCATTATCTCCCTTTGACTGACAGTTTATACTATGACTTCCCTTTGAAATCAAGCAAGTTTTCCATTCAAACCAAAGAAAGAAGGCTATCTCTCTCAGATGCTGCTTTTATGTAAATTCTATTATTACTAGGCATGATGCTCTAAAAATGAGTCATTTTTCCCATGTCTAATATATTTTAGACAACAGCAATAAAAAGGGGGACAGAGGAGGGATTGTGAATTTTGTGCAGGGTTAGGGGGAGGAAGGAGGGTCTCATTTGAAAGACATAATGAGACATCAAAGTCAATGCTGAAAGGGGGGCCATTTACAATTAGCCAGGTTGTCTAGTTCTTGACACTGCTCTTAAGCTTTCAGTACACAGTCTCTCAGCTCTTAGCAGTATACAGCTAGTGTGGAAGTCATCAGCATTCTGAACAAATCCCTAATGCGGCTCTCCACTTTTCAGTGAGCTATTTATCTAACTTACACAATATATAGCAATTAACATGTAGGAAAATATACCAATTCAAGAGAGTTCAGGCAATCTGCATATGGCACCTTTATAACCTTTCATAATTGTTTCTGGTGTACCTCTGAGTGGGCCCTGACTGAGATGCAGATAAAGCCTGCTCTGGGAACCGAAGGTGTCTCCGGGCTTAAAAATGTGCCCTAGAATTCACATCCTATCTCTGAGGCTGAGATGGACTCTTTGAGCTCTGCTGCTCTATCCAGGGTGAGTGGGCCATGATTCAGAGGACAGCATGGCATGAAAGGAGAAATCAAGGTTTTATTCTTGGATTGCTCAACTGTGCTGTGTTGTGTCATAATTCAAGCAATTCCTCACAAATAATGGCTAAATTTAGCAAGCGATTTCATTCTTGGAATGCAGATTGTGGCAGAACAAAGAATGAGGGAATATGTTAGTTTCATGGAAGAACAGCAAAGGAAATGGCAGACAACCTGTGACAAGAAAGTGTCTGGATTTGGGATTTTGTCCAATTCTACCAGGCCAGCTTGATTGCTGTCCTCTCAGAGCTCCTAAGTGCACAGACTAGAGCTTGATTCCACAGGTCTGTATGATTTTGTGTTTTTATTGTTTTTGTTTTCAGACAAGCTAGAACTACACTGTATGCTCTTTGGAGGCATTGCCTATGTCTTCCTTCCATAGGTGAAGACATTAAGGCTCAAGAAAGTGAAAGTGGCATACTACAGTCAACACTAGAGGTCAGATCTCTTGGCTCAAACTCTGGACCTCTTTCCATTCTCCTATAATATTCTCTAAGTTCAGTGTGCACTAGAACCATGAGGAGGACTGGTTGCAACAAATTCCTGGGTCCCACCCCCAGAATCTTCTGATTCAATAGGTTGAATCAGGGTAGGGACTGAGAAGTTGCATTTTTAGCAAGTTTTCAGGTGCTGCTGCTGCTGGTGGTCCTGGAATCACACTTTAAGAACCACTGCACTGTACCACATCCAATGGACTTAACAATGGAGACTGTCGCTCTCTAAACTCTGAACTAGTCTTTCTTCCTACCCATCCAAAACCCTACAAACAAGTAGAAGGTGGCTGAAATGATTAGAGCCAGGCAGGGATTCAGGTTTTCCTGCCTTCCTGGCCCAGCAGCCACACATTGGCTTGGTCACATCCAACTACTTTGGTTGTTCTGCCTCAAGATGGAAGCTTTGTGCCCCACGGAAAACAGAGGCCTCATCCTAAATGAAAGGAGGAGCATATTTTCTAAGACAGTCTCTTTCAGAGACAGCCTGCATTGTGTTTAAGAAAAGCTGATGTCAGACTAGTTATGGGTATCATAAGAAAAAAAAGTCTCGGTGTGGTAGCTCACACCCATAATCCCAGCACCTTGGAAGGCCAAGGTGGGAGGATCGTTTGAGCTCTGAAGTTTGAGTTTAGCCTGGGCAACATAATGAGACCCCACCTCTACAAAAAATTTAAAAATTAGCTGGGCATGGTGGCACACACCTGTTGTCCCAGCTACTTGGAAGGCTGAGGCACAGAATTACTATAATTGTGCCACTACACTCCCACCTGGGCAACAAAGTAAGACCCTATCTCAAAAAAAAAAAAAAAAGAAAAAGAAAAAGAAAAAAAGTTGAGTAGTCAATGTTATCACAATTTTCAGAGCAAGGCAGTATGTCCTGGTGGTTGAGTACACAGTCCTTAATCAGGTAGACTTGGGTTTGAGTCTTGGTTCAGCTACTTGTTACCTGGATAACCTTATGCAAGCTACTCTCTAAGCTTCTGTTTTCTTAATATAAAGTAGAAATAATATTAGATTGGTGCAAAAGTATTGCAGTTTTTCCTATTGAAAGCAATAGTAAAAAGTGCAATTACTTTTGCACCAACCTGATAAATACCAACTATTATTATTATTAGGCTTGCAGGAAAAGACTACTCTGGTGCTAGAAGCTAACACAAGCCCAAGGTAAGAGGTGCATTATTTACTAGGGGCAGCAAAGCTAATTATAATCAGGATGACATTTAAAGAGTCCTTACTCTGTGCTAGGTGCTGTGCTAAAATGCTTTACATGGATAATTTTATTTAATTCCCACAATGACCTCCATTTTGCAAATAAGGAAATTGAGGTACGAAGTGGTTAATTAACTTGTTTAAGGTCACACAGGTTGACCTGGAGTTTGAACTCAGGTAGTCAGAGTCTAGAGCCACTACTCTTAACCACCAAGGTCAGCTGCTCAAAGCCGGATGTAAGTGAAGCCCACTCACCATTCTCTATGGCATTAGTGGGTAGGAAAGTGGGTTGGATGCATGAACAACATGGAAAATTTCAACCTTCTTCCTTAACCAGCTTCTTCCTGAACCTCTTCTCTCCCATGCCACCTCCTGGCCCCCAAATAAACAGGATTTTAGGATAGATGCTAACTCGGTGTTGATGCATGACACTGTTAGAATGTTGACTGTCATGATCAACGAGGAGAACAAACAGGCATGGATAATCCACAAACTAACTAGTTCCAAAGACATTAAAACTCAGCAGAAGTTGTATCATGGAAAAGGAAAAAAAAGTGTTTCCCCTTTCATTAAAAGAGTAGCAAGTGCAGGCCGGGCGCAGTGGCTCACGACTGTAATCCCAGCACTTTGGGAGGCCGAGGAGGGTGGATCATGAGGTCAGGAGATTGAGACCATCCTGGCTAACACGCTGAATCCCCGTCTCTACTAAAAATACAAAAAAAAATTAGCCAGGAGTGGTGGCAGGCGCCTGTAGTCCCAGCTACTCGGGAGGCTGAGGCAGGAGAATGGCATGAACCTGGGAGGCGGAGCGTGCAGTGCACCAAGATCACACCACTGCACTCCAGCCTGGGTGACACAGCGAGACTTTGTCTCAAAAAAAAAAAAAAAAAAGAGTAGCAAGTGCAGAAAAGTGCATCAATTCCCAAAGAAGGGGAGACACAGAAAGAAAGTAAAGCCTTGGCAAGGGAAAATCCTATGTGGGTGTGTCTGAACACAGAGCTCATATAAAAATTCTAGAATAAATTTCCCCTTCCCATCTACTTACAAATACACATGGGCTCATCAGAATGGAAATAACAATTTCTGGGAATATTTGTAGCTGATGTTAGAATTTCTGATTTCCTTCCAAAGCCCCAACTTTTCATGGGAACCCAAAGGCATATCTGTTACCTGTTTTTCCAACAGGACAGGGATTTGGAGGGTCTGGGTACCCCTGATCCTCACTAAAGTCCTTAGGAATGTTGTCTCCAGTCAACTCTGCCACGATGTTGGGGATGTTGCCAAAAGGACCCAAATGCTGAAGTCCTTCATGAGCTCCACCTGCGAGGGAATCAGAAGTAGTTCATTGCAGTACAATTCAATTAATTTCAACCAATATTTATTCAGGCATATCACACAGGAAAAGCCCTGTGCCTTCTGCTGTGGGGAGAGAAAAATAAATGAAATGGTTCTTGCCCTCTAGGGGTTTAGAAATTTAGTTGCAGAAACAGACACATACTGTACACATATTATTTCCATACAAGGCAAACTGTATATTATCCTGTAAAAGAAATGTTAATACAGCATCACAAGAGCATGGGAAAGGGGCCAGGCCTGGTGGCTCATGCCTGTCATTGCAGCACTTTGCGAAGCCGAGGTAGGCGAATCACCTGAGGTCTAAGTGCAAGACCAGCCTGGCCAACATAATGAAACCCCGGCTCTACTAAAAAACAAAAATACAAAAACTAGCCAGGCATGGTGGCAGGTGCCTGTAATCCCAGCTACTCAAGAGGCTGAGGCAGGAGAATCACTTGAACCCGAGAAGTGGAGGTTGCAGTGAGCCAAGATCATGCCACTGCACTCCAGCCTGAGTGACAGAGCAAAACTCTGTCTCAAAAAAAGAAAAAAAAAAAGAGCATGGGAAAGGGAGAGTTCCATTTGGCTGATGGGATGGGAGGGCTTCTTGGAAAAGCTGGAAACTAAGTGGCATCAACACAGATGGGTAGGGCTCTGGAAGCTGGGCGTGGAGCTTGGGCAGGACTTGGGTCAAGAAAGGAAGGCAATTGCCATCCAGAAATACAGGCTGAAAGCACATTATGAAAAAAGATAAGGTCACTGTTATCCTGCTATTTTAGCTCAACCACTTAAAATTTGGTGTACTGACTCCAATTGTTGCTACGTATCTTTTTATACTAAGTATATATTCATTTCTATTTAATATTGAAGCACAAGCATCTTTCCATTTGGCTGCATGGTCTCTATTCCTGTAATTATAAATGGCTATGTAGTTTTTAGTCCAATGGCTGTACTACAACATATTAACCAATCCCCTATTGTGAGACATTTAGTGTTTCCCAATTCATTTTAGACATTTAATGTTTTCCATATTTTGGATTAATTTTCCTCAGGATAGATTCCCAGAAGTCAAATTACTAGGTCAAAGGCTATAAAACATTTTAATGACTCTTGATATTGTATTGCCAAACTGTTTTCCAAAAACGAGGTACCAATTTATAAGCCATCAGCAGCAAAATATGAAATACAACTTTTGCAACATTCTCACAAGCATTGGGTTTTATGAAAATCAATTTTTAGATTTTCTTTGCTAATTCAAATTTTTTAAAATTACTGTTTTATTTTGAATGTCTTTGATTACCAGCTGGGTCAAATATCTTCCCATATATTTACTAATTTTAATTTCTTTTATGTGAGCTGTTTGTTTATGCTCTTGGAATTTCAGTGTTTTTCTTATCAATTCGTATGAACATTTTACATAATAAAGATGCAAGGCCTTTGGCTGTCGCATTTTCTGAAAATATTTTCCCATGTTGTCTGAGTTTGAATTCTGGTTACTATTATAGTATTTTGCTAACATACGTTTTTAATATTTATGTAGTCAGATTTGTCATTTTTATTCCCCTTGTGATTTCTTCTTATCCTTCTAAATGCACAAAATCGTTGCCCCTTCAGAAGTACTACTGACATTTGGATCATTCTTTTAATTTTCTATTTGTAAGTTAACTCTTTAATCCATGTTATTTATTTTAGTGTATGTCAAACAGTTAATCAATTATCCCACCAGCATTTGCTAAATAATTCTGTCCTTCCCTACTTGTTTCATGTCTCTACCAAATACTTAAGTGTCTCATACATACGAAAACCTACTCTGAGCACCAAAACACAGCAGTGAATAAGAACAACTTCTACTCCATAACTTGTTTTACTAAGTTACCAAGTTAACATACCAATGCATGTTAATTTCTGGACTTTCTTTCCTTGTAGCCTTAACATTCTATAAGGCTCATGAAGCTTCCTTTTCCAGGACCACAGCAGATCATTTCTTAGAAGGATTTCATACTTACCAACTCCATGAGGACAGAGGAGCCCCACACTCACAGCTCCCCTAAGGGACAATCATGGTGTACGCAGACCAATACAGGAAAGGCTGGTTTACAATCAAAAGGTGCCTTGGTGTGCATGACATTTGAGCAAAACCAGGCAAAAACAACACCATGCTTCCATCTTCTCATGAAGGAGGATCCTGCCACAGGCTGGATTAGTTAAGTCTAGTTGAATGAGGCTCCCTTGTCCCTGGATGAACACTAGCACTTGCCTTTGTTTGTTTTGGCTGAGCCAGCTCTTCGTTGGATTCACACTTTTTTCCCCCATTGGAAATGTTAATATATTCAGTAGAATCATGACTAGATCTCAGTGTCCTGGGGATCATATTTTCTCTCTGAAGTGACATTGCATCACTCTGGCTTTGTGTGCTGTGTTGATTAAAGTTTAACCTTAAAAGGACAATCTTACCTCTGCTGATTCCTCTAGCCCCCGCATTCAGGCAACATCGAGTGGTTGTTCGCTTGTTTTGTTTACATTTATATTATATTTCATTGCTTTGTAATGAGAATGATGAGAAGTATCTAGCCCAGATCTAGGTCACTGCTTTGTAATGAGAGAAACTGTAAAATATCTGCATTTAAAAAAAATGCTATTTCTTTTGTAAACTACCATATTATTTTTGTAAAATTTCCATGTGAATATGTAATATAAGGTATTTTATATAACCCATAAACATCTAAATATAGCCAATTTATCAACATTTATAATTATATTCTTTTTATATCCATATTCATATTTTATCTCTAGTCTATCATAATCTGATGGCTATATGTTAAAATCTACTACTAACAATAAGTGACTGTCATTCTCTTATTTCTTACTGTTTTTATCATTTTGATGCTGTACTAGTTAGCATATCCAAGGGTATAAATGTTTCATTTTAATTGTGTTGGCAATTGGCTGCTAAATATAAATTGATAAATCAGATGTTGATTTATAGTTCTATTAGCTTGCCACTCTCACTCTGTTGATTTGTGTTTAATGGGTAAATCTTTGATTATCCTTTTATTTTTAACCTTTCTGTATCTTTCTGATGATTCATCCAGCTCATTTGTGATAGCTACCTTCAGAGCTAGTGTAGGGATACCTATGATTCCACATTAACCCAATAGATGCAAAGGTTAGACATATCAGTACACTTGGTATTGATATATTTGAAGCTTTATATAATGTTGGCACTATAGACACCACTGTGCTTGCTATAGGGCAGGCTCTCTGGTGTGTCAGTACATGTCTCAACTTTTGAAAGCACCCTAGCATTAAGTGCCAGGAATTATCCAACTTGGCTCAAGGCAGAATGCGTGTCTTAATGCTCCATTAGTAATTAATGAAGGAAGCAAACAGTTTCTCTTATGGAAGGCCTGCCAAAGCTCCGTTTACCTCTGTGCACCAGTGCCATTAAAATGAATGCAGCACTTGTTAGGAAGCAACAGATGTTTAGCACTAAGCAGACAGATTAGAACACAGACTCTTTTTAAACTGCATTTAATGATGTCAGATCAAGAAACACTCACTGAGGTAGGAACTGAGGGAGATATGCAGAAGTAAAAAATGCTGTCCTTTGCACTCCAGGAGCTAGAATTTTATAGACAATTAAACAGGTATAGAAAATATAATAATTTTAATATTATACAGTTGCAAAGGGCCAAATGCAGTTATCTGGTTCATTATAATATTTAGGTTATATTGATCTATTGTACCTGAAGCCAAGTCAAACAAAATAATATGATGCTATGGATGCCATTTGGTCTATTCATCCCAGCCTCCTTAACTATCTTACTGCACTAACCAACAACAAATAATCTAAAAATATGCATTGAGCACATAATATATAATCAAAACCTGGGCTAGGTACTAGAGGGTCAGTGATGAACCAGATAAATGTAGGCTCTGCTCTCATAGTTCATAGAGAAACAAAAAGAAACAAATGTAATACAGCCAGTTGTAATGCACTGATAATGTAACCAGGATACGGCAGTGTGTCACAGTTGTGTAGAGGAGAAGTATCTAGCCCAGATCTAGGCCATGGAAGACTCCCTGTAGCAACATACTGTGTAGCAATAATTACGTTAGGTGCTATAGACGACATAAATGTGAAAGACATAGTTCCTGTTCTCTAGTTCGTTCTTCATTCTAGTTGGTTACCCATGACTAACACAATAAGCCAGTAGTACATAATAAGATATATTCCCAACATAATGTATTGTAGTATAGACAATAGATGGTGGTATAGAGAACAGACCATTGTACAAAGCTAGGTTGGAGAGAAATTAAGAAGTTCTTCTCTAAGAGTGTTGCTGAAACTCAGGAGTGAAGTGACAAGGATTGGAATTAGGGTGGCTGCAACATGAGTTAAATAAGATTTCTAGCAGTGCACAGGAGAGAGATGAGTCAAAAGCTTGTGAGGTTTCAAAATCTGATTTGAGAAAAGAATACCATTAATAAAGATAGGATCTTTCACTTACAGCTTTGAAATTATTTCAGGCAATTAATTAATCCTGTCCTGTGATGATGCTTTATTTATGTTTCCACCACAGCCATGGCACTCTAAAAATGTCTCTAGAATAAATGGAAAATATTTAATTCTTGCCAAATGAGTTTTAAGCCCAGTTGCGTTTATATAAACTTTGCTTTATATAATAAAATTGGTACCATGCAGCTGTTTATTTCTAAGCTCTAGATATCAAATCATTGGTAGACTTTCTTTGTATTGCCATGGCAATAAAGTTGCACTCAGATGTAATTGTCAAGGGAATGAGAAAGAAGGACAGTTGGTCTTATTTGAGTCAGAACCCTTAAATCTCTTTCTTGGCCTGTGCTGGAACCCTCCATAAAAATCTGCCAATCTTTTGACCGCATCCTGCTCTTCTCTGCATTCTCACCCTCTGCTATGTGCCTCCAATTCTCCCTTCTGTACGTATCCCTTTGAGGTTGGCAATTCAGCTGGGAAGTTGACCTGGTTGGTTTGAGTCTCTCCCTGGCCTTGGAGACCTGATCAACCTCAGCTCCAAGTTTTGCCACTCATGGTCTTGTTCGGTGTTAACAAAGCCCCCAACAGCACTCCCAAGGACAACCTCTAACAACTCCAATGATCGCTTGTCCAGAAGAGGGCACTAACTTTTCTGGTTACTTAAAAACTCCCTTGGGTTTCAAATCCATTTTCCTGTCTCTATGATTTTGAAGATCAGTTGTTAGTACCTAGTAAACAGAAATATGAAAATTAAATACCTTCTGACCCCCAAAGTTTTACTTGGCTCTGAACAGCCATGGCCTTTTTGTTGCACTGGTAGGGTTTTTTTCATTGTTTAATTTTAGAGTAAATCTCTGTTATCATATTTTATCTTGATATAATTTGACTCTCTAAAATGTGCATAAAAAACAAAATCCGAATTAACAGAGGTTTCCGATTATAGTACCATCTCACTTATCTCTTTAGAGAGAACGTGCTGTTTCATGTAGTATTCAGATCACTGAAGCATCGGTTTAAGATCAAGATTTATTTAACCATTTTAAAGGAGAATTTTCCACTATGAACATTAGGTAAATACTTTAAACAGCAGGAGAATATGACTTTGCCTGTTCTTGATAATTTGGGACTATTACTGGGAATATCAATGACTATACAGTGTTGTAACAGTGTATTCTCAGAGTATTAAAGGGCATTCGGATATAAAACTATATTAAATGGGCCGGGTGCGGTGGCTCACACCTATAATGCCAGCACTTTGGGAGGCAGAGGCGGGTGGATCACAAGGTTAGGAGTTCAAGACCAGCCTGGCCAAGATGGTGAAACCCCATTTCTACTAAAAATACAATTACAGGCAGGCGCCTGTAATCCCAACTACTCAGGAGGCTGAGGCAGGAGAATCACTTGAACTTGGGGAGTAGAGGTTGCAGTGAACCGAGATCATGCCACTGCACTCCAGCCTGGGCGGCAAAGTGAGACTCCGTCTCAAAACAAACAAACAAACAAACCTATATTAAATGGTCCCAGATGCAATAGTTTTTAATGTTCTTTGTCACCTCACTCCTTCTAAGTTATTAATTCTAGTCATCCCAAATCCTTTCCATAATGAAATACAATAAATTGAGAGTGCGCCTAGGCCCTGCAAGTCTCTTCTAATTTTACCCTCCCCCGCACAACACACACACACACACACACACACACACACACACACACACGGGGATCTTATCCAAATGTGGATTCTGATTCAAGGTGAAGGGTGGGGCCTGAGATTCTGCATTCCTCACAAGCTCCCAGATAGTGCAGATGCTGCTGGCCCATGAGCCACATTTTCAGTAATAAGGGGCTAGAAAATGAGAGAGCCAGGCTTATTAAAATTATATATAAAATGAGATAAAATTAGCTCCGAGAGAGTGCCTAGGTGATCTTGCTTTATGGAATTTGTGACATCGGTGTGGCTGCTAAGAACCTTCTTAAAAGTCTGCAGTTTCAGATAAAGGAGCTGTCACTGCCGTTGTAGTCCTTTTACTTAAAGTTTTACTCTACAGAGGCACTTGCTCACACTTTGCAAGGAAAGGATCCTGCTGCCCCATTTTTTACTTACGCTAGTTCTGTGGGAATTAGAGGTAAACACCTCCCTTGAACGTGAGTTCTCATAGTATAAGCGATGTCCGTTGGAGAGCCTGATGATGTCCCACCACGATGCAACGGCTCTCCTGGCTGGGGCTAGTGGAAGCAGTTTTGATGGAAGTTAAGGTTGGTCAGAAATTAAGAACATAAATGGGACCTGCGTTACTTCGTCACTCTGTCTCTTTTTTTTTTTTTTTTTTTTGTGATGTTATGGTTTCAACAGTTTCAAAGTGCTTTCATCCTTATTAAAAACGTCCTAGTGAGGTCAGTAGGACAAGAATCACTATTCATCATTCTAAGTGAGAAAGTGAGACCTGGGGAAAGGTTTCTTGCCTAAAGCCACTCAGCAAGTTGGTGCTATTTTGGATTCCAGCCCTGTGTTCACTCTACAGTGGCACTGAGAGAGCCCCCACGAGGCCTTCTGCGTCCATTCATACCCTTTCCAGTGCGTTTCCGTCTTCCAAAGATGAGCTGGAGCTCCACAGCCACAGTTAGTAGAATGACCTGTCGGGGTACCTGGGGTCTCTCATAGTTTCCAGGTCACTCAGGGGATCTCCGGTGTCAGTGACTACTGCAGAGCCAGGCCCCGGCAAAATGGCTCTGGGATGGGACGCCACCTGTGGGCCTCGCCACCATGGTTCCTTCGCACCTGAGTGCCCACCTCACGCTGGAGGTTTGGAACATCCGGACAACCCCTGCCCTCCAGACTCTGCCACACAACTTGGGAACACCCTGACAAGCCCGCAGCCAGCATCGTCCCATTCGCACCCCTCACGCTGCCTGCAGCCCTGGGGATTCATGCAATTGGGCACTGGCGCTGGGCAATAAAGAATTGTGGTGGGGCAGCCTGGTGCCAGGGAGCCAGTCGCCCACCTCGTAAAAAGGGAGTTCTGTGAGGAGCGTCTGGCAGGGAGCGGGCACAGGCCCCTGAATACCAGCCATTCAGCTGAAGGGAACGGGTCCAGCAGTTTTCACTTATGTTACCACAAACAGCAGATGCTAAAAATACACTGCGGTCTCGATACATCATTCAGAAAGCGACGGACCAGTTTTCCTTTTGTCAGCGGTCTGGGAGCCTGAAGCAGTCGGATGGGGCATTCCAGACACCGCCTGGCCTCCTTTGGTTTCCCCTCAGACTCTGACAGAGCTGAAGGTGCCAGCGCGAGAGCGCCCGAGGAGACCAGGAGAGAAGGTGGAGAGGCGGCAAGGCTCCCCAGGCTAAGGGAAGGCAAAGCGGAGTGGGGCGAGGAAGGGGCGGGGTGGCTCCTTCTGGAGGCCACAGAACAGCCTGGGACTCCCTGAGGCGACACCGGCCGCAGGCACCAGGCACTGGGGGCTAAGAGAAACCCCGAGACCCAGAAATCTCCTTCCTAAGGTCCAACTTGCCCCAAAAGTTGTTTTTTCTTTTTTTTTTTCACTACTTGAGGTAAACACATACACAATTTTACAAAAAGCGCCATCACTTGTCCACAATCAGAGGACTCATTCGTCAGCTTCTGTACAATCTGCGCTTGGTTTCTCCTTCTCAGTAAGCACTCAGGCAGTTCCACCACACGCTACTGTCTCCACAGGAAAGAAGAAGACAGAGGCAAAGAGAAAGAGCAGGAGAGGGAGAAACAGATTGGCCCCTAGGAATGGGGAAAGGAGGCTGAAAGAAATGGCCAACATGAGGGTGGAACTTCATATTTTAGATGTCTGACTCCCAGTTTCTGCTTCCTCCATCCCAAGTAACTGAAGTGAGATAAAAGAAAAGAACAGAGTCATTTTCACACATCCTTTCTCAAAATTCACTCTTATTTATAAGACCTTTTGGCCTTGACTCCTGGTGAGAAATGAGGGTCCCAACATTCAAACCTATTTATGAAAAGCAAATATTTTCATTTACTGAGGACCCACAGAAAGAGAGCACTTTTTATACAAAGAGGCTTTTATAGCTTCCTGTTGTTAGGGCCCTGAGTTCAAGTCCACATTCTGCCACACACTGTGGGATTCTCATAACCTCCCAATCTCACTGGACCCCAATTCCTCCCCTTTTAACCCGGGGATAACATGCTTGTGGGAGGATACAAATCGGATACTGTATGTAAAATGCTTACCTCAGTACCTGGTATGTAATAAGCACTCCATGAACGTTAGCTGCTTTTCCTATCTAGTCAACATTTCCTAACAGCACAATTAACAGAGCCGAAATTAATGATCCTGCATATTTTTCATTGTGGTGATCATGGTCCTGTGTTTGAGGTATTGAGCAACAGGGCTCAGGACATTTGAGCTTTTTACTAACATCAGTGCCTCCTCATCAATTCAAAACTAAATAAAGTCATGCTTTGCCTAACAAAGTTACAAATCCAGGCAGCATAATCCCTTCTCTCAAGGAGCTTGCTCTCCAATAATAGGGGACAAAATATGTCCACATAAACACACATCTGATGTTTGTGCCTGGTGGAAGAGATCATGAGCACTAGCGGAGAAGAGAAATTTGTCTCCCATAATGGGAAAATGAACACACAATAGTTTATACTTAGAGATGGATATTATCACCTCAGCTCTCCTCCCTAGTAACAGAATTTAGTTTAAGCTGTTTAGAATGGTGAGGGTTTATGTTGCAATATCCACATTCTCTAAACTCACATGACAAGTGACCCCCAAAGCACACAGCATTTGGTAATTGAGAAAAACAAAGGAATGATTCTATCTGTGCTGAATTGGCTAATTCATTGACTTGCCTCAGGGCAGAGGGCTGGCCCTGGCAGTTTGCTAGAGTGATCCTTCTGCTCTGAATTCGAGCCTGGTCCCTCACAGGGACTGCCCCACATAGCCGGCAAGGGCAGACACCCTGGCTGGCACTATCCTGTCCTTGTAGGACAGATCTAAATTGGGTTGAGCCTGTTGGCAGATAAGCAAAATGAAACCCATTCGGATATTTTGTCTTGAAAGGCATTTGTTTTCATTCCTTCTCTTTCTTCTTCTGCTTTTCCCCCTCATACTAGGATCTAAAAAACTCAGGCTCCTTGGGGACCAAAGCCAACATTATCATCATCTACTCAGAGGCACGCAAACAGTGAAGGCAGAGACGCAAATTCTGAGTGCACTGCATTTGTAGCTTTCACATCTACATGTGGTCCCAATTTAGGATCACAAGCAGAGTTGTTTATTTTAGAAAAGCTTTTTAGTTAACTTTTAAGGTATTTTGCTTAAGCATTGCTTGCTTTTCAAAAGGAGAAAACGTGTATTTTTTTTTTTTTTCTGAAGCGGTGTTTGTTTTGGCTGTTTACTCATTTGCAAAAGTTCAAATTTTATCCTATGAATTTAACTAATTTTTCTGTAGTCACCACAAACCCCACCCCCTCTAACACATACACACAAAACCCCAAAATAAAATAATCTGGAAGTGAAGCATTTTTAGGAGAGCTGTGAATTTAGCAGGTTTTGAAAAAGCCGTTTCAAATAGGTAATTTGCAATAGCACTTTTAGCTCCTTCATGTAACTTTTATTTGCCGTCTGAAATGAAGTCTCAACTTGGCAATTTGTATGAAGGCTAAGCATGTCTTTATACTAAGGTTAAGGCTCATGTTTGTCCTTTAAAAACTTTATTTTATAATTCTTGCTGAAATTATATGGCTTAGCTGAGGATCAGAGTGGAGCTTAAGTTGAGGTATCAGTTATTATTGAAAAAATAACGGGATATAGAACTGTGGTGGTGGTGGTTGGGATTCGGTGAGGATATGGACACAAAACTGTGAAAAAGTAAAAATATGGACTTGGGCTCTCTAGCATCTGGTTCCATATACAGGCCTACCGCCTCCAATTATCTAAAGCTCCCACTTCATCTTCCTTTCTGAAACTACACTTACTTATGACATCATTTGTCCAGAACCTGAGCCCCACCTCTCTGTTCTCAATGACATAGCAGGTCCTATGTATCATTCCTTTGGGTAAGCTTCTCTACTAACATGATAATGAGTGCTAATTAACATGTAGTACTCTGCTCCTGTAGGATTTGCAACTTAGAGGATTTCTGGGATAATTCTCTTAAAGTAGTGACTTCACCAACAGGAATTCCAGGCCCCCTGGTGTGCCAGCTCAAGGGATAAGCAGAGTATGTCGGGTTCCCAGGTAAGGAAAAGGGGCAATGGCAATGACAATCCTGCAGGCAGAAATAAAGACATTAGGGGCCAAACCAGAGCCAGGTAAATGCATAGGAAGTTTATAATTAGTGACCCAGCATCCAAGGAGATAGCTTCCTACACTTAAGAAACGAGTAAAGGAGATCTGCAGGAGCTTAGGGAAGAGAGAAGCAATGAATGGCTGAGCCAACAGATGACATTAACACCAAGACACCACCGTGAGAGTGGAGGTGACCCTCCGCCCCAGACCCAAAGCTCTCTGATGGTTTCTGTTGAGGGTCACCTTCCAGTCAGCCTGGGCTTCACAGAGGAAGCAGGTCACTGGGGACTATGGTTGAGGAGGTGTGGATAAGGGTTAGCAGGAACTGTGTTGGACCCATTCTGGATGGGATGAGGTGGGAGTGGCAGGGCCTGGCAGCGCTGTGCCCATTCAGAGCCCCTTCCACCAGCTGACCTGGTTCCGCACTGGCCAGGGGAGTGGTCCTAGCACAGATTTTGGGTACACGGCTTGGGAATGTAATTATTCCATCATGTCACTTCCACCCATATGTCTGTAGACTAAAACGAGGAGACTCCATCTGAGTCTGACAAGGCCTTTTGGGCCACGACAAGGAACGTGATTCTCACTTGGCCTTACAAATTCGTACCTGAATTAATTACCATTCCTCTACTTCTTTTTCACTATCCTAAGCTGCTGTAAATCCATAAGTGTTCTTTATAAATGGCTAGAATAAACATTTGTTTTAGACAGTAATCTCATAGAAAATTCTTTTCTGTTTCTGAGTTCCCAGCAGCTACTACTATTTTTTGGCAGCTGGTGGTGGGGTGAGGGTTAATTCTAGCCTCGAGAGGAGAAGGCACGTGGTGTGTACGTTGGGGAGGGGCCCAGACTAAATCCTCTACAACCCTTTGGTAATGCTTTCCTGGCCTGTGGTTTCCCATCTCATACAAATATTCCCAATTTCTCTCTTTTATATCCATGTAACCTCTGCCTGGCAATAGGTATTAAGAATAAAGTGGGTCCGGTGGCTCATGCCTATAATCCCAGAAGTTTGGGAGGCCGAAGCGGGTGGATCACTTGAGGACAGGAGTTTGAGACCAGCCTGGCCAACATGGTGAAACCCCATCTGTAATAAAAATACAAAAAAGTTATCCAGGCATGCTGGTGTGTGCCTGTAGTCCCAGTTACTCGAAAGGCTGAGGCAGGAGAATCACTTGCACCCAGGAGGCGGAGGCTGCAGTGAGCCGAGACTGTGCCACTGCACTCCAGCCTGGGCGACACAGTGAGACTCTGTCTCAAAAAAAAAAAAAAGAATAAAACTACAACAAACCAAACAAAACAGTATTCACTAGTTATTATCAACTTTGTGCCAGACCTGGAGCCAGAACTCAATGTTATGTTAAAAGAGATAGACTCAAAGGCGGCCACAAAGCTGTGTGGACAGTGATGAGCAATTCGTGCCTTAAAGTCCAAAGGAGGTGCCTCCGGCAATACGCTCAGACAGCTGCAGCACTACACACAGACACTGGAAATACACCTCACAGAATTCTTCTGATTCTTAAAAATGGCAAGTCTCTTACCCACACATGGTAAAACGGGTGAAGAAAGCACACATAACTCAAATTCATAAAAACACCAAACTTATCTTTAAAAATGGGCTTCAACCTTCCCATCCACCCACTTCCAACCAAATTTTTAACTAGAACTATTGATGAAAAATAATGTTGGCCTGAGTCAGTTCTAGTCCCCTTTATATATTATTTTAAAATAGTATATAGCAGTGCTGTTCTATAGAAATAGAATATGAACTACATTTGTAATTTTAAATTGTCTAGTCTTCTCACTTCAAAAAGTAAAAAGAAATAGTGAAATTAAATTTAATAATTTTTAATCCCAATATATCCAAATTATCATTTCAACATGTAATTGATATAAAGAATTGCCAAAGAGACTTTTTATATTCTTTTTTGCATACTGTCTTCCAAATAGGGTGTGTAGTTTATACTTAGAGTACATCACAACTCCAGCCAGCCATATTTCAGGTGTTCAGTAGCCTCTTGGGCGTGGTGAATACCAAATCGGTCAGAGCAGGTGTATAGAGGAGGCTAGACATGGCGATCAAAAGTGCAGCCTGCAATCCAGATGCTTGAGTTTGAATATTGGCCTCATCACCTTAGCTGTATGACCTCATCTGTAAAACAAGAATACTTAAGTAATACCATCCTTAAGCCGTTGGTATGAGGATAAAATAAAATAGTCCTTGTAAGGCTTTTTGCAAGAATTCTGGCAAATATTGTGCTTAATAAATGTTAGCTAGGGTGGTCACTTTATAATGCATGAGCTCTATACTTAAAAACATATGTGGTCCTGAACAAGTTATCTTACCTCTTTGAATATTAGTTTCCTTCTCTGTAAAACAGGGGTGATAATAATACTTCATTGAGAAGATTAACTGGTACAAACATAGCACTTAATAAATGTTCGTTTCTTTCTCCTTGACTTTAGGTGCCAATGAACAGAGAAATAGCCAAAGGGCTCGCTGAGTGGGAGCAGAGGTAAATGGGCCTGGATAATTGGAAAACTGGATAGTCACGAGGTTAACTATGCCACAGGCAAGAATCCAGATGGTTCCAACCTACCTCAGCCAGTGTGAGAATGCCCAGTAGATGTGTTTCTTTTGTAGTTCCTTTACTAGAAGCTTTATAAGAGCAGGCATGTTCACTGTTTCACAGGCTAATAGAAATAAAGTATGTATGTGCATCTTATGTAACATATCCCTACGTATGTATGCTGAATTCAGTAGGCAGCCATGTTCAGTATTTTAGAGCTGTAGCCATCACTCAACTCCCTTGTGTTGATAAGAAGAAACATTCGGGGAAAAGAAGACCTATTTGTTTATTGTAAGATTCAAAATCTCTAAGGGTAATGGCCTTTATTTCTTTCCTACTCAGAAGTTTGTTTTTCCCTATTTAATAGCTCATACAGGATTTTGAAAAAGGAAAACTTAAAAATTTTAATTAGAACCATATCCTAAATATCCTTCTGCTCTTCTGCATGTTTGTTTATTTTTTCTTAGGATTGATTTGTTCAGAGTTTTGAAATTACCAGGGAAGAGCTTTTGAGGATGTTTGAGATCCATGATTCAAAACAGGGAGGGACACATGAGTGGCAGGTGACATCAGAAGCCACCAGCCATTCCTCAAATTGCCAGCTCTGGAGCCCTCCATCCTGCACTAGAAGGAGATACTGCAAACCCTGCCAAGGTGTTCATGCTTCTCGTGCTTTAACATTTCAAAAAGCTCAATTCCCAAAGACAGTGAAACTGCCACGAAAAACAAAATGAACTCTGGATGACAAGGAGGCCCAGTCATTTCTCCTATCAATGGAAAGGGCAATTTTGATCAGAGACAAATAGTACTTGATTTTACCTATAGGGACTTATGACTTATTCACAGCTCTGACTCCTCTTCTCCACAGGAATTCAATAATGTAAACCTAATAATAAAAAATGACATAAAATGAATGTAATGAGAACACCCTAAAACTAGTTTCCCTCCTGGCCTATCTCCATGTTGCATCTTTCAGAAAGTGTCAGAAACGAAACTTAAACAAACAAATAAAAAAAAAAACCCCAAACCAGAACCTAATGCTGATGTGATCGTTTAAATAAACTAAACACAACTGGATAAGGAAGCTGTTTTACAAAAATAAAAATAGAAAAAAATTTCTTGACAAGAGGCATGGATTATTCAGGATCCCTGTGTTATTCTAATTGTTTCAGTGCTATTAGGTGCATTTTAGGGGAATGTGGCCCTGATGGATAAATGCACCTTTAATTCATTTCTAAGGCAGTGATGTGAGATATAAGACTTTTTTGGGTAGGCACAACCCCAAAAATGTCATGTAAATCTTGAAAAGTTTTTCATCCAAAAACCCCAAAGGGTTTACTCATCTCAACATCTGCATTTGATAGGCAGAGGGAGAAGAATGACTACAAGAGGAAGATTATCTGAGATTAAAACTGGAGACCTCCTAGAGGCTGGGCTCCCATAGGCACCCTGGCCCAGACCACAGCAGGGAGGGAATTCCTCCATTCTGCCTTTGTGCCTCATCTCCTGAGTTAGAGATGGTAGCTTAGTTTCCTTTCTTGGTTCCCTTCTGTATTCCTTACAGATAAAGAGATGTTCAATACACATGTGTTGGCAGAATGGCCTCCATTTTATAAGAGTGGAGGTGACTTAGCAGGACACATGCTATTTATACAAACAGAAGAACCTAGCAGCACAAACATGAGTAGGGATCTCTTTATTACTGCTCCTGGAGGTGGATTTATAGTGAAGTGAATGAGGGCCCCTCATGGGCGCAGACTGCTTCCAAGGCCTGGAACCTAACTTTTCATTTGCAATTGTGTGTTATTTTTCTTGAAAAAAGTTTTCAAATTGCATGAGTTTCAGGCCTCACAAAACTTGAATCTGCTGTGGATTGCTCTTAAAAGCGGTATACAAACGCCATCTTGGATTTTTCACCTGTCATTATTTTAACTCCTAGTCATCCAAAGCAAATATAAATCAATTAGTTTTGTAGCCATGGACAAACGAGGCCTGGGTTTCCTCATTTCTGAAAATGAAAGGTGATTGAATATGATTCCTCAGATCCCAAAAGAGAGCAATGTAGGGAAGGAGGGCACAGTGAGAAACAGAAGGAGGCAAAGGCTAGGACACCCTGGTGCTGGCTACACTACTAATAGCTGGCATATGACCTTCAGTGAAGAACTTTACCTCTCAGGGCCTCATTTTCTCTACTATGAAATGAGGCAGGCAGACAAGACATTCTCTAAGGTCCCATCTTGTCCCATGATTCCAGTGCCCTGACTTGTGCAGTGTGTCACCTCTCATGGCCACTCTCACTGGGTGCTCACAGTAGCCCTGAGACTAGTCAGTGGAACACTCTGGTGAGCTTCAGAATTCAAATTCAGTGCTCTTCTTACTATACCACATGGGAGATATTTTCCAGCTAAACAGTAAACAAGGCTAATATCATTGGTTTGATGGCCTTCAAATATGCACTGTTGTCATGCCGAGTCAAAGATGATAGTCTGACATAAACCAGCGTTGCAGTGTAGATGTGGCGAATGACAAGGGAGTGGCTCCTTTCCCACAAGAGGCACTGGACTTGAAGCTGCAGCTGGTACAGCCCATCTGCAGGGAAATGCCATTTTCTTCTCATGCCTCTGTTCAAAACTTGAGTCCCACTGCTTACAGCTAGACAATCATTAGAATCACTGGTGGCACTGAAAAAAATCCCAAGCAGCTCAGACTCCCTGGAACTACCATATTTGAATTCCTGGAGAGATTAGGGGCCAGGAATCTTTCATTTTAAGCTTCCCAGGTAATTCTGATGATCCACCAGGTAGGAAAAGTATTGTTCTAGGTAGTTTTCTCTGTCCTAGCCAGCCTGGAAATGCTGTTTCTTTTAAAACAGTAAGTCTATCTGGATACCCTGATGCCTCCTGCCACAAAGTCAAGCTGGTATAGCATTGGCTAGGACAAGCAGTGACAGCCACAAAAGACCACCTATTCTGATTCCATTTATATGAAATGTCCAGAAGAGGCAAATTCACAGACATAGAAAGTAGAGTAGTGGTTTCCAGGGTCTGGGGAAAGGAGACTGAGGGAAGGAGTAAGGAGGCAGAGATGGGGGGAATGGCTAAGGGGAATGGAGTTTCTTTTGGGGCAATAAAAAATCTAAAATTGATACTACTATGTGAATATACCAAAAACCATTACATTGTATACTTTAAATTGTTGAATTGTATAGTATGTGAATTATATCTCAATAAAGCTGCCATTCATATATTATATATGTTATATATGTATATATGTATACATATGTGTATATATAACATATTATATATTATATATATATATATATATATATATATATTCTTTTTTTTTAACAGCCCTAATCTTCTCTTCCCCGCTCTACACACAAACACACGTGCACCAACTCATGATCATTGACAGGTTAATTACAGAGGCCCAACTAATGTCCCACATGTATGAATGGCACTCCAATCACCTCGCTTGTGACCACCTTATTAATACTCTCCCCAGCTCTCCGCTCTCCTGCACCAGAGACATCAAATCGTCCCGGGCAGATGGCACCACCTGGTGGCCATTACAGGAAATCCTGACCGCACACCTCTGCACTACCTCCTCTCTCGCCATTCTTCCCTCTTCTTCCAACTTCAGGGCTCAGTTAATTCTATAGTTGAGGTGATCTCCAATTTATACAAAAGCACTCCCCTTCATCTCTCCTCCAACTTGCCTCAAGTCTTCCTCTACTGCTGCTAAATAGCTTAAAGAACTGTAGTTTTAAGTCTACATGTGAAAATGGAAAGAAACAAATCTTAAAGTGGATAGACAAAAATTAGATCTAATAAAGAAGCAATGCATCGTATTAACAAATATTTCAGAGACTAAGAAAAGCAAAAAGCTATATAATAGGAAGAGATGTTCTGTTTCATTGGTCATCAAATAAACACAAATAAAACAATGAAATGCCATTTTTGCCTATCAAATTAAAATACTTTAAAAAGTTAATACTTATAGTTAACAAGTGAGACAAGACACCCACAAACAAGTGAGAGAGAAAGCACAGCCATATAAGTCCAACACTTACAGAAAGCAACCTGACAGTATGTAGGAAATGCAGCCTAAACAATAGGTACAGAGCTTGACCCAATTATTCTTCTTTTCATAGAAATATATACCCCAGAGAATTTATCAAGACTGTACACAAACGTTTATGCACAAATATGTTCATTGAAGCTGTGTTTATGATGGGATAAACTGGAAAAACTCTAAATGGCCATTTGCAAAAATGCTTGAGTAAATTGAGGCATAAACATATAATAGGATATAATGCAGCTACTAAAAATAATTACACTGATTTTAATATAGGGATAGGTTCTTGATATAATATTAAGTATAAAAAGAGATAAAAGATTTACTGTATGATTTTAAAAACTACCTATGTGTGCACAGAAAACAGACTGGAAGAAAACATAGCCAAATGCTGAAAGTGGGTATCTCTAGGTGGTACGATTCTAAACAATCTTTATTTTATTTTCGAAATGATCCACGACAGCTTTTATTATCTTCATAAGAAAAAATACTGAAACATAAGTTATCCATATAGCATCCTTAAAGTTACCCCCAAATTTCCCTCCGAGTGTGTGATGGCAGAAAAAACAAAGCCTCTAGAGCCATGGGTCTCCACAGCGGGTCTGATTTTGACCCTCAGAGGACATTTGACAATGTCTGGAGATGTTTTCTTTCTTCTCTTTTTTTTTGTTGAGACAGAGTTTCGCTCGTTGCCCAGGCTGGAGTGTAATGGTGCAATCTCGGCTCACCGCAACCTCTGCCTCCCGGGTTCAAGTGATTCTCCTGCCTCAGCCTCCCTAGTAGCTGGGATTACAGGCATGCACCACCACAACCGGCTTATTTTGTATTTTTAGTAGAGACAGGGTTTCTCCCTGTTGGTCAGGCTGGTCTCTGAACTCCCAACCTCAGGTGATCCGCCCGCCTCGGCCTCCCAAAGTGCTGGGATTACAGGCATGAGCCACCGCACCTGGCCTGGAGACATTTTCTGTTGTCACAAATGGGGGAAATGCCACTGGCATCTAGTGGGTAGAGGCCAGGGATGCAGCCTCCACCACAGAGAATTATCTGACCCACATCTAAATGGTACCGAGGGTGTAAACCCTGCTCTGACTTGAATCCAGGTTCTATGCCCCTTCTGTTCCATCTTGGCATGTTGCTCACCTGCTCTAAACCTCAACTTTCCCTTGTAAAATAGAATCATCTGCATATGATTTCTGAGGGCAAAATACAATACATAAAGTGTTTGGCACATAGTAGATACAAAATAAATATTTGCTTCCTTCTCCTCCAACACTATTACTCAATTTTGTATTTCCTTTTGTGAGTTATAGCAAACTTTTGCAGTTATAGAAAGAATATATTCTACCCTTTAAATTATATCTCAATTATCCATTCCAAATATAATAGTGGAGTCAGTCAGGTAAGCTTTGCTGTGCTCTTCCCAGATTCTAGAGCTTTAATATCAGATTGATACCATGAAAAAATTAAATTACTGGCTGTACAATATTGATTACCAAAAACTCATGAAGGCAAATGTCTTAAGTACTAGGGGTAATCGAGGTGAAAAGCTGATCTCCTTTTGGGGTCTGCCCTGCAGTCAGAAGGGCTGACTCTGGAGAGCACCTGAGAGGGGTGCAGGGCACCAAAGGACAGGAGCAGGGGTATCATGCGTGCATCTCTCATTACTCACCAAAGCTACATGTGAATGACCTAGGCTCATGTAGTCATCTGGGTTAGTTGGATCCTTTTCCTTGGCTGAATGAGCTCTATTAATAGATCTAAGGTAGGCTCACTCTTACTGCTTCTCCATCAGAATAGTGCTGGATACCTGATACCTTTGGGTAGACTGGAGAGAGGCTGATGGTCATTCACACAGTCTCCTTGATGTCCAAACCGAATGAGGGAGGTGATCTGACCTGCCTGGAGCATGGACACATTGAGGCAGTGTCAGAAGATGGCCTGGGTGGGTAGGCAGGCTGCAGGAGGAAGCTCTGTAGGTACTGATAACTCTCTCGTCAGAGTCACGGATCTGGCAAGCTGAGAGCAAGCTGACCACTCCCTGCCTGCAGGTACATCTCGCCTGTCCACAGCCCAGACCCCTAGGCACCAAAACTCTGACTGTAAAAAAAGCCAGAGGTCCTTACCAGGCTCCAGTGTGCTCTATACAGACCTAGTTAAATGATAGACGACTGCCAAAAATTCTATTCACTGACCACACAGGGAAAAAATAATCCTTCCAATATTAGTATTATGTATCATTTACTGTCAGAATAACTGCTCTTTCCTCTCCTTCCTTTGCAAACATTTTCAGACCATAGCACCTGCATTGTTGCCATGTTTTTGCACACTTCAGTGACCAAGGGCTATTCAGAGTCTGGACAAACTCAGCAAATAATTCCTCCCATCATCTGCTGAGGATTTTTTTTTTTTTAAAGGAAAGCAAGCAAGATACAGAGAAGGGACCTGCTGGTTCAATTCAGGAGCCAGGCGTCTTAGGTAGCTCACAGCAAAGGGATTCTTCCCAGCAGGCCCATCCATTCCTGCTGCTCCAGAGGAAAACGTTAGTCACTCACATCTTGTCCAAACCGTGCAGGGCTTGTTGACACAGGCCTGCTGAGCTGTCATACCAGAAAGATGGCATCAGGAAGGTCCCCTGGGCTTCTGCAGGGCAGGCTAGCCTCCTGGCCTGGCTGTTTCCTCAGCCATAACCTCTGTCTCATGCAAAGAAAAACTTGAACAGGCCACTGGGGGAACTGACCAGTAGTGCCAGGAGCCTGCCACAGATCCCTTCTGGCAAGGCCTATTGCTATGGTTATTTTAGGCCCTGGATAAGTATCACTCTGTCTTGGTCAGACCAAAAGCCAGCAGGAAAGTTTTCCTCCTGCCACTCACTGCACTGCCACCCACTGGGCACCTGGGATCGTCTAACTTGCCATGAGAAGTCCGTGTCTGACACTCTGGGAGCTTATAATCAAATATGTCCAAGTGAACAATCACCTGGAAAAGATGGAGCTCCCAGAGGAAAGATCCATTTCACAGATGATCCGGCACATGCTGTGCAGTGCGAGTGCAGGGGCACATTTCTCCTATTATCTCTCTGACAGTTTTTTTGGTTTTTTTTGTTTGTTTTTTTTTGAGACAGAGTCTCGCTCTGTCGCCCAGGCTGGAGTGCAGTGGCGCCATCTCGGCTCACTGCCAGCTCCGCCTCCCAGGTTCTCGCCATTCTCCTGCCTCAGCCTCCCGAGTAGCTGGGACTACAGGTGCCCGCCACCATGCCCAGCTAATTTTTTGTATTTTTAGTAGAGACAGGGTTTCACCGTGTTAGCCAGGATGGTCTCAATCTCCTGACCTCGGGATCCACCCGCCTCGGCCTCCCAAAGTGCTGGGATTACGGGCATAAGCCACCACGCCCGGCCCTCTCTGACAGTTGTTAAGTGCTGAGTGACTGAAGAAATACCTACCTTCATCTCCAGAGATCCCCGTGGTGTTGGTGCCATCTGTGCATGTATTTGACCAATACAAAGGGAAATATCCAACCCACCGTCCCATCCAATGCCACTGCTACTACCCCTGCCACCATCGAGGGTATCGCTAGATTTGGGGCAGCCTATTTATCTGCAAGGACAGAGAAGTGTTACAGAACATTCTGTGGGCAAGGTGCAGAAGGGAGGCTGGAGCTTCTCAGGTGAGCTTAGGGCCCTGAGTAATATAGACCATGTGCCACTGTGCCCAGATGCTCTTTAAGCAGAAAAACTTGGCGACAGCCTTAAATGCATCCAGCCTTCCCTGCCACCCTCCCTTCCCCATAACCACCCTCCACTCAACACATACTGGTTAAAAAGTATGTTTCTTTTCACTTCTTACTGCCTGAAGCTGAATCTTTATCATCTACATCCTACCCGTCCTCAAGGAAGTCTAGCTCAAGTTTGATCTGTGATGTCTTCTCTAGGGGCCAATGCCTTATTCCCCTCCTGAACTCCAGTAGTGACTGCCTGATCCACATATAGGGTTCTCAGCTTCTATCTAGTAGGTTGCAGCTATGCATTTTAAGTTTGATGTCCCTTTCATCCACCTAGACTTCAAATTCCTTAAACAAGGGCTGTGAGTCATGATAAGAGATGATGGACAGGCCCAGCTACTCCTCTTTGCCATTCCCTGGATATCAGTTTGTATCACATCCTTTTAGCCAGCCCACCTCACTGGGGTGCGGCACTGCATGAAAACACTTCGTTACTCCTAATCTTTGTTGTGTTTGGTTATTCTTACACCTCTGGATGCCTCTAGACTCAAGTACCAATGGAACATGCTGTAAGGGAGTGGGAAGTAAGGGGAAAAGCAGTCTAATTCTGTTCCATTCCTGATTTTCTGTAAACACGCTCAATTCCTCTGGTCAGAGTTTAACCTTCACTGGAAAGGTTAAAAGAAGATAGTGCCTGATGGAGATCCTACATAAATAAGTTAGATGCATGTTTATGGGTTTTGAAACATATCAGGGCCACAGTTCCTGGCATGTAGTAGGCACTCAGTAATTACTCATTGAGTAAATAAAAGTAGAAATGTATTAGATAATATTTTGATAGGCTATTTGGTTCAAGGAAGTGTACCGATCATGGGCTGCCAGAGACGCCCACAAGAGGACAGTGTGTTCTCAAACCACGGAGAGCAAGCTTTTCAATTCTGCACACCTTTCTTCCACTGACATCTGCTATATCCACATGGACAGGTTTCACTTTTGGTTTGGCAGCTGAATCATAGTCTCCTTCACTTTAAACCTGCTTCTATAACCTATTTCATGGCAGAATACAACATCTGTAAAGTCACAAGGGCAAGAATGGAACAGAGCAAATTTCAGTATGAAAAAGTTGCTATTTATGAGCTTTTAGAAAGCATCCATCCTCATTACAGTCACATGTTTCTCACGCCTAAGGTCAACACCAATACAGAGCAGAGCACTTAAGGCCAGGTGGGAAACTGATTCTGGCAAAGTTTAACATGCAACTACTGGGGGCAGTTTTCTGAGGCCACGTGAAGGAAACTTAAGATTGAAAGATATGACTATCTTCCAATCCCAAAGCCACTTACACCTGGAAATACATACATACATATATATATATATATATATATATACAGGAGGATGAAAGAATTAAGGACCATGAGAATGATGCTTTGCACCTGTGTACCATTTTATACTTTCCAAAATACGTTTATATATATTATTTAATTTGACTGCCCTGTCAAACCTGTGAGATGGACTGGACAGTTTATCTCTATTTTTAGATTGGGAAGCTAAACTTTGCGGAACTGAAGGGACTTGTTCAGTGCCATGCAGCTGGTCTGAGCTAGGACTAGAACCCCTGGGCATCCTGCCTCAGTGCTCTTCCTGCTATGCTGTACAAACCAAGTCCCCCCCAGCCTCCACCGCCAGTGCCCCTTCCTCTACTAACATCACACAGCACACCATGGTCAAAAGTGCATGCTCAGTTATATTTGCGGTGCGAAATTGTGGTCTGCTAAACCCTTCCAGCCGCCTTCGACAGTTCTCTTTACGAACTGTGGTGCCCAAGGTATTTGCACCAATTGGTTCCAAGAAGGCAGTTTGTCAGAACATTTGCTTCCAGAAGCGGCACATCTCTGAAACACCATCCACCCAAATCCACATGTGGTTTACCACGACTCCCAGCACATTATAGTTTCTCAGCTAAATATCACAGGATTGTACTAGTCTACCAGGATAGAAGACAGCTGGATGGGGAGATACATTTAAACCTAACACAGCTGTCCTGCCAACAGGACATTTAACTCGTAAAGCTTAAGCGGTGTGATTGTGGGCAATGATAAACGTTTTTAACCTTTTTAAAGGCTGTATCAAATGAGACAGAATATAGAAAAGTATTTCTGCAAGCCATAAAATATATAAAATTTAGTTACCACAATTCCACTTCCTACATGTGCCTGATCCACTTTGTCAATTACCTGTGGGAAATTGTTGATTGTGGCTTCCCTGGCGACTCAGCACACTTCCTGTTGCCTCCCTCTTTTTCCAGATGACGTGAAACAAGGTCCCAGCTTGAACACTCTGAGTTTTGAACAGATATGTCTGAGAGGACATCTGCCAGAAGCCTATTTGCATGAGGAACTTAGAAACCTCCAGGAGAAAGCTCAGACTGAAGGAAAGAGGAGTCGGCTTGCCAACTGCAAGGCACCAGACAATAAATAATGCCTTAGTGGTCAATGGAAAGGTTGGGATTTTTAGAACCTATGGTTCCCAGTGCTTAGCTTTGTCTCCATGTCCAACACCCCCATGTGAATCCTACAGAAAGTTGTGGGGCAGAGGGGCAAAAAAAATAAAGCTATGTTTCCCTAAAAAATCTCTAGTATTTAGGGATATCAAGGCACACTGTCTTGGTCCATTCAGGCTGCTGTAAAAAATACTTTAGACCAAGTGATATGCAAACAGCTGAAATTTATTGCTCACAGTTGTGGGGCTGGGAAGTCCAAGATTAAAGTGCCTGTAGATTCTGTGTCTGGTGAGGGCCTGTTCCTCACAGTGGCTCCGTCTCCTGTGTTCTCCCACGGTGGAAAGGGCAAATGAGCTTCCTCTGGCCTCTTTCATAAGGGCATGGATCCCATTTGTAAGGGTGAAGCCCTCAAGGTCTAATCACCCCCAAAGACCCTATCTTTTAATACTATTGCAGTGGGGATTAGGCATCAACATATGAATCTGGGGGAGACACAAACATTCAGACCATAGCATACACTGAGGGGATTTCCCGTTGCCCTCCCAAGTCAGCACCCACTACAACAGAACACCCTGAGGCTGCATAGCTTGGGGGCACCCACCAGCTGTAATGGGAGACAATCATAGCTGAAGGGCATGGTGGTGCTGAACTTAAGGGGACAACGGGAGGAAAAGGGGAAAATGGGTAACTGTCCCACGGAAGTGGACCAATTCATTTTGCTTAGGATCATATATGGTGTTTGCTCTATGATCTCCAGAATTTTTTTTTTTGTTGTTCAGACAGAGTCTCGCTCTGTTGCCCAGGCTGGAGTGCAGTGGCACGATCTCGGCTCACTGCAAGCTCCGCCTCCTGGGTTCATGCCATTCTCCTGCCTCAGCCTCCTGAGTAGCTGGGACTACAGGTGCCCGCCACCACGTCCAGCTAATTTTTTGTATTGTTAGTAGAGACGGGGTTTCACCGTGTTAGCCAGGATGGTCTCGATCTCCTGACCCTGTGATCCGCCCGCCTCGGCCTCCCAAAGTGCTGGGATTACAGGCATGAGCTACCATGCCCGGCAATCTCCAGAAATATTTAAAGCACTTTCCAGGAAATTGCAGTCCTAAGTGACCAAGTGTGAGAAATGCCGGTGACTTTTAGGTTATTACCGTCAAAATGCTCCAGATATATTTACATGTTGCGAAGGCTGGATAATCTTGACTGGAATAACACGAGTCCCACTTGCTGGTGTCTCAGAGGTCAATGGCTATTTCAAGGGAGCAAATATGGCAAGGTTGTTTCAACAAATATTTAGTGGGTGTTATTTGCCTGGCCTTGTCTAGGCACTACAGACACAAAAAGCGAGGCAGATACTGTGTGCGCATTTGCAAATCTCAGTCTAGTGAGGAAGGCAAGCTCTTCCTCATCATCAATGCCAATTCACAATGAGGCTAAAGAAGCAAATACAAAGAAGTATCAACAATGAGCCCAGGAGTGAGGATCATCCTTAAGGATAAACCTTGTGGTCAAGGTTTAACCCTTTCTGCATCTGTACAGTACCTATAATTAACTAGATCAACTAGCCAAAGAAGCAGTGTGATGTGCTGGACAGACAGAAGAGGAAAACACCGGGGTCCAGCTCAGGCTCTGATCCCACAAATACTAGCTGGGCTATGGATGGAATGTTTGTGTTCCTCTTAAAATTTACATGTTGAAGCCTAATCCCCAATGTGATGGTAATAAAAGAGGCCCCAGAGAGCTCTCTCATCTCTTCTGCCATGTGAATACAATGAAAGACAGCCACCTATGAATCAGGAAGCAGTCTCTCCCCAGGCACGGAATCTGCCAGCACCTTGGTTTTGACTTCCCAGCCTCCAGAACTGTGAAATAAACCTTTGTTATTTAAGCCACCTAGTCTGTGGAATTTTTGTTATAGCAGCCTGAACAGACCAGAAGACAAGCTGTATCCCTAGATAAGTCTCATCTCTGAGTTTCTTTTTCCACATCTGTAAAAGGTGGCAAGGAATACTCACCCTCCTTGCCTGCCTCCAGTAAGTGATTGTGAGGGTAAGCATGACACTGTGCATGAAGACAATTTGAGACCCAGACTCTGTTAGAGAGATTCAAAAGCAAAATACCATATTTATGTGGATTATAATAATTTTCCTTAGGAAATGGAGGCTTGATGACAGCTGTGTTAATTTTATTCCCCAACACCCTATTAATTTCATGTGTCAGACTGCCTAAGTTATAGTACCCAGTTGTGTGATCATAAGCCAACACTAGATTTTTCTGTGAAGGTATTAAAGTGAGTAATATTTAAATCAGTGAACTTTAAGAAAAGCAGATTACTCTCTATAATACGGGTGGACTTCATCTAATCACTGAAGACGTTAAGAGAAAAGACTGAGGTCCTCTGAAAAGGAAATAATTCGGCCTCTGGACTGTCTTCAGACTCAAAATTATCAACTCTTGCCCAAGTCTCCAGTCTGTCTTACAAATTTTCAACTTGCCAGCCCCCACGTTTATATGAGCCAACTCTTTAAAATAACTGTCTGTCTCTCTATACATTCTATTGGTTCTGTTTGTCTGTTTCTCTAGAGAACCCAGGATTTACATCTGGTTCTAGTGACTTCCATGAAAATACACTGGGGCTCAGACTTACCCAGGCTCCAACCCATATAGAAGTGAATATTTCACAAGGATTATTCTACAGTCAGACAACTGGCAGAGCAATTAGTAGTTGCCATACAGCAAACTTAATTTCAGGAGTTGTTATCTAGTTTTCTGTGTCCCTCTTTGACATTCTAAGATAGTCACATGTTATTTAAGGAATGGACTAAAGATCTCACTCGTGATTGAAAATTCACAAAATTCAAGAACAATCCTAATTGAGGATGATGACAGATTCTACCGATCACTGTTTAGAATTACTAAGCCTACTACTTTGAAATTGTGATTCTTGACAAATTGTTATTTGGGGAAGATTCACATTATTTCACATTTTGTGCATGCAATAAGGCTGTGCTAATTTTTTACATTGTACTGTTCCAAAGACACATGAAGTGTTCACATAAAATTCCCCAACACCCTATTAAGATTATTTTCTATTTTTGTTCTAGGTTTATGCTTCACTAAAACATTTATTACTATTAAACAAGATATAAAATAGACAAAGATGACACTTTAGATCTTTTGATCTACAAGACATCTAGGAGTTATAAAAAGTAAATATTAAAAGTTTATACTATAACTAGTAAATAACTAATAGTTATAGTTGTAAAAGTTAAAAATAGTGCTGTCCAAAATTTTAAAACATCAAAAGACATATCAGTGAGGTGTATAAATGTATAAGCTGGCAAAGAAAAGAGATTTGGGAGACTGCATTTCATTCTTGTATTCTTATTTTAATTGAGAAGGTGGCTAGAATTAGTACAGCGCTTGCAAACACCTGAGGCCAAAACCTCCAAAGCTCTGTATCCCAGCACACCTTTGCCACTTTCCTTTTTCCCCAATGGAGGAAGGAAAGACCTAAGACACAGGCCAACACCTGTGCTCCAGTCCTCATCCTCTCCCACCTCCTCAGTTGCTGCTCCCCATCCCACATCTTCAACTCTCCCTCTCTGCTGGTTCTTAGCAATTAGCACTTCAGCAAGTTCAATTTCTCACATCCTAAAACAACCTTAACAGAAACCGTCCTCAGCTCTAAATCATTCACCCTTCCCCCAATCCTTCCACAGCTATTACTCATCTCCCCTTTACCTGACATTCTGGGAACACATTTATACGTTGCATTTCTTCCTTGTTTATCCCCTCAATGCCCTGCAGGTATGGTGGGCCCCCACTACTCCCCAGAGCCGGCTCTGCCCAAAGCCCCCACAAAGCAGTAACTTCTGTGTTGCTACCCCCAGTGAACACTTGACACCCAGTGGTTTTTACTATTTCATGTGACCTCTCTGCTGATCCTGACAGTGGTAACCACTGCCCCTTCTCAGAACACTATTTCCTTGTTTTCATTACACTCTATCTTTCTGGTTCTTCTCCTTTCTGGCCGATTTATCCCAGTTTCCTTTGTGGATTCTTCTTCATCTACCTGGCCTTTGTCTTAGGTGCCCTGTTGTTCTCAATACCCACCCAGGGTGACCCCATCCACCCCTACAGTATCAGCCACCACTAACACGGGGATGACTCTGAAACCCTTCCTTCTCCCAGACTTCTCTCCTGTGCCATATACATCTAAGTGCCTTCTGGATACCCAGGACACTGTAAACATACACAAACATGTCATCGTGTTCATCTTTCCTATCCTTTTCCCCTCCCAAAAAGAACCTCCCCGTTTCTTTTGAATTTCTCATTACTATCCATGCAATTGCTCAACAGAGAAAAACTGAAAATCATCCAGAGACTTTAAGGATTGAAGTTCAAGGTGGACAAAATGCAACCCCAAAGGCATGGGCCCATTGGGGGGTCCCAGTCCATTCATAGATGGCCTACAAGCCCAATGTTCTCATTGGTTCCTCCAGGGTGAGGATAACCTAGAAACAGATTTTAGTCAAGACACATAAGAGTCAGCTGCACTGCTTTCTCCAACTGCAGAGAGAGACTAGCCAGAAACGGAGTGTCCCCTACAGTTCAAGGTTTGCTTCACCCCGCCATCCTCAAATGGGAAGCAACTGTTGCCACCCTGTGGCAAAGCGGAGGCACTGCAGCTCCTTTACCAAGGCCAAAGCTTGGCAGAGTAGAGGCTCCTAGGATCTGCCTCTTCAAGTAGCCTATCATCCACAGGACTCTTTCTCCACTTGATATTTATTAAGAAAATAACCTTGGGTCTCTATTTCTAAGTGAAAAATTTGAAGTCCAACAGTCAGTGTTATAAAAAAGAACGTATTTTATTTTATTTTATTTTTCTGAGACAGAGTTTCGCTCTTGTTGCCCACGCTGGAGTGCAATGGGCGATCTTGGCTCACTGCAATCTCTGCCTTTAGGGTTCAAGCGATTCTCCTGCCTCAGCCTCCCGAGTAGCTGGGATTACAGGCACGTGCCACCATGCCCAGCTAATTTTTTGTATTTTTAGTAGAAACGGGGTTTCACCATGTTAGCCAGGCTGGTCTCGAACTTCTGACCTCAGGTGATCCGCCCGCCTCGGCCTCCCAAAGTGCTGGGATTACAGGCGTGAGCCATCGCGCCCGGCAGAACGTGGGTATTTTAATGTTTGGCAATATGGATTTAAAATTACTCAGAGCCATCAAATGCTAATGTTTATACATTTCTATCTTAATGGCTAGATAACTGGTGTTATCACAGTGCTAGATAGCTGGTGGCCTAGAACTGTGGGGAAAATGAACAGCTGGCACTGAGCAGCCTATCTTTTACCTGAAGCTGTTAATGTTCTGAAAACGAAAGCACATTTTCTGGTTGGATTCATCCAAGGCCATCCAAGGCCATCATCAGTGTCAGCTGGCACAACCAGTTCTAACTCCCAAGAGCTCCCATCTCACAGCACATGGTTCTCCGAATCAGTCCCCTGGACAGTTGGTGGCTTTATTTGTTTCTGGGGATAATACAACAGTAGCCATTTAGCTATGTCTTGGAGACCAGTGAGCAACCGTGGGCTTGGGAGAAGATGGTTACTGCTGAAATATATGGTGCACTGAAGCATATCTGAACTGTATTGCTAACTGATGAGTAATCAAAAATAAGACTGGGGCGCCGGGCGTGGTGGCTCACGCCTGTAATCCCAGCACTTTGGGAGGCCGAGATGGGCGGATCACGAGGTCAGGAGATCGAGACCATCCTGGCTAACATGGTGAAACCCCGTCTCTACTAAAAATACGAAAAAAAAATTAGCCAGGTGTGGTGGCGGGCACCTGTAGTCCCAGCTACTCGCGAGGCTGAGGCAGGAGAATGGCATGAACCTGGGAGGGCAGAGCTTGCAGTGAGCTGAGATCCCGCCACTGCACTCCAGCCTGGGCGAAAGAGCAAGACTCCGTCTCAAAAAATAAATAAATAAATAAGATTGGGGTAAGCCATTAAAGACTGAAAACATGTTGTTGATAATCCACAAAGTGAGAGGAGGAAGGCCTGCAATTCAGTTACTAATGGCACCCACTGATTGCATGTAAGAGTGGGCTGGAAACCCCATTTTATTTTATTTTTATTTTTCAAACACCAACTCGAACCAGACAAGCCCATTTTATTTGGGCCGATTTTATTTGAGAGAACTAGGCTTAGAAAGTTGCCAGGATTACACATAGCTAGAAAATAGTACGGCTACGGGTTAACCCGAGTTCTCTGCCATAAACATACACACTCTTTTTTTTCATGTAATGCCAAGTAGGTCCCTGTTTGTCTTTGTGTTTTTATTTGCTTTGGACTAAGAATTTACACATTTGAAAGATGCTCCTTACCAAGCTGTTTTTAAGGCGCCCACGGAGAAGTTAAACATAACCCCCAATCCTCTCTGGATGTTTTGGCAAATGCTTCTACCCCAGCGACCACTTAAAGCTATTAACGACCAGGAGGCTGGCTACCAGGGTTCAGGAATCTTCCAAAATAAACTTCTAGTCTAGTTGGCCCTCTGCTGGTTTAGTCCCAGGACTGCAAAAAGTCCTTCTAGCTCCTTGGTAGGCGCTGTACAAAGGGCACAAACCTTGCACCATGGTGATCACAGTCATAGTCAATTCTAGATAACAGACATTTTTGCTCACCACATTATCACTAAGCTCATGGCAAGAACCTCTAGGCAGAGATTTTTAAAAACAGAATAGAAATGGAATATTTTCCTTGAACTAAAAGGCAGAAAGTCTTGACAGATCCAGATGTAAAACAGTATTTACATACTTATTGCCATTAGGTATATTTATTTCCCCCTGATATTATACATTAATTCCTCAAATATTTACTGAATGCTTACTATGTGCCTGGAATATAATGCAGTTAATAAGCAGATATAGCCTCATGGAGCTTACATTCCAGTGGAGAGATAAACAATAAGCAAGAAAACAAACAATGATTATAAATGACAAAAAATGCTATGGAGCTTTAAAAAAAAAGGCTGGACATGGCGGCTCACGCCTGTAATCCCAGCACTTTGGGAGGCCAAGGCGGGAGGATCACGAGGTCAGGAGGCTAACACGGTGAAACCCCGTCTCTACTAAAAACACAAAAAATTAGCCGGGCGTGGTGGCGGGCGCCTGTAGTCCCAGCTACTGGGGAGGCTGAGGCAGGAGAATGGCGAGAACCCGGGAGGCGGAGCTTGCAGTGAGCCGAGATCGCACCATTGCACTCCAGCCTGGGGGACAGAGTGAGACTCTGTTTTTTTTTTAAAAAAAAAAAGGAGACTGCAACAGAGAATGTAGGGGGGTGCTACTCAGACAGGGCAGTCAGGCAGCCCTCTCTGAGTGGGTGACTTTGAAACTCGCTACACAAGGAATGGGAGGTTGATAGCCTCCCATTGTTGATCCCATCCAATGTGTTGATAGCCTTGAGGTGGGAAGAGGCCGGTGTGACTCAGGGCCAGAATGCGTGGAACAAAGTAGGGAGTACGATTGACTGGAGCTGTGGATCCTCGTAGGTCATGGCAAGAAGGGTTATTTTTATTCAGGGTACGATGGGAAGCCACCAATGGAATTGTAACTACGGAGATGACACTAATATGGTTTAAACTTTTCAAGTTTAACTCCTGAAAAAAGTTTAACTCCTGTTCTTCCTGTGAAGAACAATCGAAAAGGGATCAAGAATAGAAGCAGGAAGATGAGTTAGGAGGCGATTTCAAAACTCCATGCCAGACATGATGGTATCTTGGACCAGGGTGTTTGGAGTAGAGCTAGAGAGAAGCAGACAGGAAATTGCACATGGATTTTAGAGATAAAAATGAAATAAATTACTTAAAATTGAGGCATGAAGTGTGATGGAGAAAATCAAGGGCTACTGTAGGTATTTAGTTTGCATATATGGCTAAGCAGGGGCACTACTCATTTAGACAGAAAAGACTGATATAAACAGGCTGGGGAAGGTGGTGGTTTGAGAAATCAGGATCGAAACCTGGCAATTTAGCAATTAGTGTAAGCCTATGGATATGCAAGAAAGAAATGTGGGCTGAAATACAAACACCGGAGTCACCAGCCAAGAAATGGATTGAGAGTCAAGAGAATGAATGAGATCAAGTAGATAGAGAATTGAGGGAAATAAGAGAAGTGGACCCAGCACTGAGCCCTGGAGAACTTAACTTTTAAAGGCCGCCAGAGAAACCTGTAAACGAAACTAACAAATGGGTAAAGAAAAAAAGGAAAAAAGGAAAGCCCAATACTTATTTGTTTATTTAAGGACTACATTTCCTCGCCCTGCTACTTTGCTGTTCACGTTTATTTCCTCAGTACCTAAAACAGTGCCTGGCACTCAATAAATACTAGTAGGTTTAATGAATGAGCGGTGAGAACAGTGGGCTACAATGGACCAGGAGAGAATGAGAGTTGAAGAAGTACAATTGGCATGTGAGGAAAGGCTGTGAAAGGCAGCTGTGAAAGGTTGCTGTGAAAGGCAGCAGAAAATTGGAACAGTAACTAGAAGGGATATGGAATCAAAGAAGATATGTTTTTTTTAATGGGATATATGATACCTCACTGACCTAACATTAATTTATACTGATACTATATTCCTATACTAAAAGGCCAATTTATAATTCTATATTTGAGAGCAAATATACACATTTGTTAAGATCCATTGATCATACAATTAATTTATTTAAGTAGACAAGATAGATATTTGTCTTCTATGTACCATGTGTTGGGCAGTGAACAACTCTGCCTGCAAGGAACTTAACATCCAGTAATTATCTAAAGTGATGATGATGATGATTTGTTTAGAAATTATTTCATCGTAGCACAGTTATCCATGCTAAAACTTTATTTTTGCTTCTGTGGACTGGAACATTACCTGCTTACAAGTAAGTGAATTTAAATCCTACCCCTAAGCTAAACAGAAGGTTATAGGAGTTAAGTAACTTGCCCAAGGTCATATTAGTAATAAATGATGAAGCTGGCATTCAAATTCGGGTGTCTCTGACAATGGTTTGTGCTCATAAGCACCATGTTAAGTGTATTTGAAATTCACACCAGAATACAGTATTACTATAAAATATGATAATATATTATGTATATTCTTTCTGTAACAATTAAAAATAAACTTTCCCAACTTGGTTCTTCACAATAAAATCCTAAAATCAATGTTGGAAGGGTATGGAAGATACTCCATGTGTCTGTCAGAGGGAATTAGCATCAGGGAGTGTGAGCAAAGATAATGCAAATAAATGGATGAGGTGAAACAATAACTAACTCACATGAATAAATGATCAGACCACCCAACAAATTCAATGCCAAGGTCCCAGACTGGGAAAAACCCAGGCTTTTTATTTTGTTGTTTTTGCCCCAAGTATCTTTGGACTATTTTCTTTGTTAGTTTTCATCCTAGCTATAGTATACAATTCTAGGAAGACTCCCAAGATTCCCACCTGCTGGGAATATAATGAGATATCAGTCCCTTGTTATCTGAAAAAGGTCATGGGATAGTCACTCCCAGGATCATATTACATTATAATTAGAAGACTAAAGAGATATTCTCCTTCCAGCTATGAGAAGGCATGTGGCTTACAACCTGAGGCGGCCTCTAAGAGCTGAGAGGGGCTTTGGTTGGCTGACAGCCAGCAAGAGAAAGGGAACTCAGTCCTACAATATAATTCAAATGGAATTCTGCCAACAGCCTTAACGAGCTTGGAAGAGGACGCAAGCTGCAGCCAAGACGACACCTCTGGTCAGCACCTGAACACTAATCCGCACCAAACTCCTGAGCAGTGGAAAACTCAAATAATAAATGAATGCTGTGTGAAACTGCTAAATTTGTGGTAATTTGTTATACAGTAATAGAAAACTAAAATTCAAGTCAGTATTCATCCCTTCCACAGATACTGATAGGGGAGACTTAAGATTGCTATGTTAGGCCGGGTGTGGTGGCTCACGCCTGTGATCCCAGCACTCTGGGAGGCCGAGGCAGGCGGATCATGAGGTCAGATGGAGACCATCCTGGCTAACACGGTGAAACCCCATCTCTACTAAAAATACAAAAAATTAGCCGGGCGTGGTGGCGGGCGCCTGTAAACAGCTACTCAGGAGGCTGAGGCAGGAGAATGGTGTGAACCCGGGAGGCAGAGCTTGCAGTGAGCCAAGATTGCACCACTGCACTCCAGCCTGGGTGACGGAGTGAGACTCTGTCTCAAAAAGAAGAAAAAAAAATTGCTATGTTAAGCACATTATTCCAAGGGTAATAAGGGAAACAGAGTTTTTAATTCTGAATTGTCCTAATCCATGATCTTTCATGTCTCCATGCCTTTTATTTTTTTAGTTTTTGTGGGTACATAATAGTTGTACCTCCATGCCTTTACACTTATGGTTCCCTGATGAACTCTTACTCAAACTTCAAAACCCAGGTCAAATGTTGCTTCTTCAAAGCAGCATTTCCTTATAGCCACCCCATCCACTCCTAAGCAGACTAAATTACTCCTGTTTGCTTCCACGGCGGCAGCTTGTGTGTACATCTATCAAAACACCTGCTGGGATGCACTGTCATAACTTTTGATGTGTGTCCCCACTTCCCTCTCCACTCAGACTGTGAATCTTTAGGGCAGAGCTGCACCAGTCTCCTGCCTAGTGCCTGGTATATAGTGGGTACTAAATAGTTGGATACTGGAGGGAATGGAGTCTCTGGATAAAGAGGCTTTTGATGCCCCGGGAGTGGCTGTTTCTTTTCCAGCACAGCTGATCAGGCCTCAGGTATTAGTGGAAACTCAGAGAGCTCCATGACAACAGCTTAGGTGAATAACCAAGCACTTCCTGCCTTAAAAAGGTAGATATTTATTGTTTGTCTCAAAAGAGCTGGCCTGAAATATATAGGTGTGCTTGAAGTAACGGTGACAGATGCTGAGAAGGACTGAGATTCTCCCTAAAAGGGATGACAGGAAGCTCTGTCGGATTTGTTCTAATTCAAGCCATGTGCTAGGTTTGCATGCTTGCCGATTCAACGCATTTGTGTTAATCCACTCCTGAAATCAAATGTCAACCTAAACAGACTACAATCTCACCGAATTAGTTTTACTCAATGGCTTAAAACTATGGGTAACAAAACAGAAATAAGAATCATCTATCAACAATATTCATGGCATTCACAGAACCCTAGGGCAGATAGCATTTTTAGAAAATCACAGACTCTGGCAAAATAGTGCATAATCAATCTGTAGGGAACAAACAGCATTTGGTTGGTATGCTTTTAGAGATAATTCTCATTTTCCTTCGGACCCACTCCATGGGCAAATCCTTGAACTATAAGGAAATGCTCCCTTGCATTTAACTGAAATTAACCATGCTACTTCTTTAGGATTCTGCCTTAGTGGAGAAGGAGATCATTAGAATCAGAGGATAAAAAGCAAAGCATGGAAATAAGGAATCTGTCTAACGCTGCATCACCAGCTCATAGAAGCTAGATTCTCTTTATAAACAAATCATTAAACAACAAACAAATGAAGTACTGCTTTCTAATACAAGTATTATGACCACATTGCCAGAAACTTGGAAAACTTCAGGGGGAAAATGGTCTTGCCACCTTAAAACGATTTAATTATTCTTAATTTATTATTTAATAAAATTGTTATATTTTTAAATATTTTCAAAAGCTTTCACGTAAACTCTTAATGTCAGTACCTCTTTTGTCTCCTCTTGGGTATACTGGAGTCATTCCTAGGAATCAAGTCAGATCCTGTAGGTTCTACATTTTGAAGCTCTTTTACAAGTACTGGCTGGCATTGACTCAAAAGGCAGCTATCTGATGACACAATTTCCTGAAGATCAGCAGTGAGGAGAAAACATCATGTCTGGGTTCTAATCTTTCTTTAGTGATAACACTAGATGCTCCTTCATTCATTCAACAAACATTAATTGAGCACCTATTATGTACCAGACATTGTGCTAGGTGCTAGGGCTACAGCTATGAATTAGATAGATAAGGTCCCTGCTCTCACAGGACTTATAGTCTCATGTGGGTGTGTATATGTAAGTATGTAGACACTGTGTAGAAGAAGAAAGGGAAAACCATGAGAAAGTAGAGTCTCTTAAAAATTAGCTTCCTCCTCTGAAAAAAATAGGATAATAAAGGCATCTACTTATAAGGTTGTTGTGAGAAGTGTGCAAATATATTATTTAAAATGCTAACGGAAACTTCAAACCATCAGAACACAGTAAATACCTTCAATGCTCTGGGGGCCCACAAGATTCATGGCCTGGTGAGCTGGATATTCCACTCGGGGCCTGGCAATGCCCAATTGCTCCATAACACCATGAAGCAGCCTCTGGATATCTGCTTCTGAGACCCGGTCAGGGGTCCGGGGGCTGTAAGCAAATGCTGGAGTCCATCCAGATGCCAGCCAAAACAGTAGGCCAGATAGCATGGTAGAGACCATCCTGGAGACCATTGTCAACCTGCAGATAAAAGACCAAATGTATACTGATAGGCTACAATCGGCAATTGTGATAATACAATTATAATGATGCAACCACTCCAGGTTGTGGTTCGAGGACCACCCAGAAAGGGGTTGTAACAAAGAATCCTTAGGAGGTTGCTTTTGTCTTAAGTTTCCATGCTAGGCAGAGCATCATTGCAGAAAGGTATTAAACAAAACAGTTGCAGGTATCCAATTCCCTCTGTTTGCATTCTTGAGAAAGCTAGGCTGGAATGGCGGTTCTCACTCATAATTTTTATCCTCCTTGTAGCTCCCTGAAAGTTCTGCATTACTCCTAACTTCATCACTCTCTCCCTCTCTTACTAAAACAAATAAACCAAACTTGCTTACATTTTGAGAAAGAGATAGTGGCATCTTGGGTTTTCCCAGTCTCTGGGAATAAAAGTCTAACAGGAGGGAGTCAGGAAGACACAAATCAAGAAGCTCAGGAAGGTTGGGAGTGGTGGCAGGGAAACATTTCAGTTTAGCAAACATCCAATACGTTTGCGATCCTGAAAGGAAGGAAAATGTTCCTTAGATCCAGCCCTGCAATCTGCTGGGGTAGTTTGAGGTTTGTTTGCTCAGCCACATGCTGAGTGATCGTAGGCAAGTCCCTCAGTTTCCTCCTCTGCAAAACGGAGATAATTAAAGCATTTACCTTTTAGGGTTGTTGTGAGGGTGTGTGCAAATACATGTTAAGAGTGTTTAGGACAATGCCAGGCACAGAATGAGCCCCTATATTGCTATTATTATGTTGCTAACATTGCCTTAACAGTTCTGGAGGTTAGAATATGGGGAGGCAGTGGTGGTGAGAGGGAGTTAACTAGCCTGGGGGTGGGAGGGTCAACCTGTCCAAAATGTTGGTTTCTATGGGTATGTCTGCAAAACAAGTGAACATTATCCTTGCAGCTTACCCCACAGCTGCTTAACGTGTTTGGATGCATGCTTCAGGCAGCGGCCTTGCAAACCCTTTTTTTTTTTTTTTTTTTTTTTTTTGAGACGGAGTTTCACTCTTGTTGCCCAGGCTGGAGTGCAGTGGCGCCATCTCGACTCACTGCAACCTCCACCTCCCAGGTTCAAGTGATTCTCCTGCCTCAGCCTCCCGAGTAGCTGGAATTACAGGCGCCCACAACCAAACCCGGCTAATTTTTGTATTTTTAATAGAGGCAGGGTTTCACCATATTGGTCAGGCTGGTCTCGAACTCCTGACCTCAGGTGATCCACCCCCTCCCCTCAGCCTCCCAAAGCGCTAGGATTACAGGCGTGAGCCACCAGGACCGGCGCAAACCCTCCTTCTAATCATTCTTCTACTGAGGATGGGGGATGGAGAGGTGGGAGGAGGCAAAATCGTGCATTTCCTTTACTGAAACAAAAATTTTTATACCCTCCAATTTCTTTTTCTGCAAAGAAAAGGCCTTTTCTAGCCACTAGATATAAAACCTTGCTCTCCAAAGAGCTGAGAGTAGCTGTTTAACAGCAAAATCTGCAATTCTGATGGAAAAGGCTGGAGGCAGACACGAGGCTCTCCATCTCCATCTTTCCCTTGTCCACTCTGAATGCAGGATGTCATCCCAGCAAACGCCGCTCTGATTTGATGAACTACACAATCTCCTCCCTCAGTACTCCCTTCCCCTTACTGATAGCCAAACATTCTAATCCCCTACGCATCCTTTGTCTGACCCCAGCCTCCACCTCAAGGATTTTAGCAGGACGCCCTCCCACAACTGGCAATACCAAATCTCGGGTTGGCGGCAGGCGGCCGAGCCGACATCAAAACTGTACTCACCGAGGGGCAGCCCGAGGAGCCTACTGCGGTATGGGCCTTGGTGGGGGTCAGGCCAGGAACGGGCGAACTGGAGAGCTAGTGCGTCACCCTCCTCCGCATCTTAGCTCCGCCCCGGCCCCTCCTCCAGCAGGTGGAAGCTGCCTCGCCAGGACTCCCCAGACTGCATCCCAGATAAGTGTGCCTCTCACCAGGAGCCGCACAGCTCTTCAACCCCCACATTCTGCATACAAACCTCTTGACTATGACATTTCCTAGAGACCCTCTTCAGCTCCATCGACCTCCATGTAAGTCATTCACCTCCTCAGTCTCAATTACAACGTGCCAGATCACCACTACAGCACACCTTTAATTTTGTCAACTTCTAGAATATGTTTTTTGTTTTTGTGTCTAAAGCCTTTCAGCTTCAAGAGGGAAGAGGCAATGAATGGTAGAGAGACAAAAGATGAAGTCCTAAGAACTTTTAATGGTGGCTATGATAAGGTATACCCTGCTCTGAGGGGCCTCTTACTAATCAGGAAAACTATGGGGATATTTAATACAAGAAGCCAGAAACTTCCATTAAAGTGATAAACTTGAAAATCTGTAGAAATATCAGCTCTGAGTGTTATTTCTAAACGTCCACACAAACCATCAAGTAAAATTCCACTTTGGCCTGAAGAGAAACCATACTCCCAGCATACTGTAGAAGTATGTCCAGGTAGTCCCAGATTCTTAAATAAGGGTTTATGGAGCACCTACTATGTGCAATCTTGAACACTGAAATTTGTTCAAATACTAAAATCAAAATGTAAAGCCATACAATAAATATGGCACTACAAATTTGATCAAGATGGAGGATGAGTAAAGAACCTGGGGGTCTCAAAACAAGTAACCTGATGAGGTTAGAATCCAGATCTATTTATCTTAGCTCTAGAGAGCAAATCCATTATCATCTACAGCAATTTTTATGCAATAAATAGAGGCTGGCAAAATTCATTTATGAGACACATGGCCTTTCATTTTGAAGCCAAGCCTCTTTCCCAGTACTTTTTCTTTCACGGATGCTCATCTGCTTCTTGCTTCTTGTTTCAATGCATGCTAAATCAACAGGACAAACACTATCCATTAAATGGCTCTAGGCTCACTGGCCATGCTGGAGTTAGTATTTATTATTGATGCACAGAGACTTTTTTCAATTCTGAGTTTTACTTTAGCTTTGTTCATTGTTATCTTCATTTTGTGGTTGAAAAAAATGAAGTCACTACAATTTACTGCTTTTGTGTTAAATTTAACTGAAATAGATCAAAATGCCTATGCTTCATTTGAAATTTGGTGTTTCAAAAATAAAACTTCATATATATTTAAGAGATCACAGAGGTTAGGTGCAGTGGCTCACGCCCATAATCCCAACACTTTGGGAGGCCAAGGTGGGAGGATCACAAGGTCAGGAGTTCGAGATCAGCCTGGCCAATATGGTGAAATCCCGTATCTACTAAAACTACAAAAATTAGCTGGGCGTGGTGGTGCATGCCTGTAGTCCCAACTACTTGGGAGGCTGAGGCAGAAGAATCGCTTGAACTCGGGAGATGGAGGTTGCGGTGAGCTGAGATTGTGCCACTGCACTCCAGCCTGGACGACAGAGTGAGACTCCGCCTCAAAAAAAAAAAAAAAAAAAAAAGAAAAGAAAACAAAAAACAAACTAACTAAAAAAGATCACAAAATTAAGGTTTAAATTCTGCCACAATTAAGAAAAACATGACTATTAAAATCCTACATTAAGTTCTTAGTGATCATATTATAGAATGTGGCCATGCAGTCTACTAAGTTCTATGTATTAAGTTGTTATTAGATAACCAAATTAATATTAGATCTTTATTTACATTTATAAGACAGTGAGAAGAACCCATGAGGTTACTGCACGTCCAGACACTTTCATATCATTTCCTCAAATATTCCATGAAGTTAGCAACATTATCTCTATTTTGTATAAGAAAAAATAAAAACGCATTAAATCAAGTTTAAAACAAAACTTTTCTGGCTCTCTAGTTACCCTACCTTCAAGCTAGTCACCTTCACATTCCTGTAATACTCCGTATAGCAGCTTTCAGCTAACAAAAATAGGAGTCACATGTGGTAGTTTTTAAAACAGACATGTTTCATTATTGATTCATCTCTCAGAAAAGCCAGTTCAGGTAGTATGTACAGTTAAACCCCTAGGACTTCTTACTGAATTAGTCTTCAAATTCAACATTTCATCCTTCCCTTGATGGATATAAAAAGACGTTAATGCATTTTTAAAATTTAAAAATTGTTTAAAGCAGACAACATATATCTGACTATATGAATATTTTGTCTCTACTTACAATTAGAAATGCCATAAACATCTACAAACCTATTTGATATCAAATAAACAAAGTAGAACCTAGCCAAGCAAACATCTGATGATTTGAAATTCCTCGTACATACTTATGCTGTAAGTCTGGTTGCTCCGAGTGGCATGAATGCTGCTCTAATCTGCTCCAACATCTAAACATGACATTCTAACAACCAATCTGAAAAACTACCTTTAGTGGTTGATTCTGTCTGCTTATTCCTTCCTCTACAACCTAGAGAATATGTTCTATTGTTCATAATACTCTTTCCTCAAAGATGTGTAATTTGTAATAATTTAAAATATAAATTTAGACAGATTTACTTGACAATTTGGTGCATGTTCTAAATGGCACTTTGAATTTCATGAGAGCCTTAGTCAAGTCATTTTCCAGAGAGTTATCTTTAATGTCTATGCTAAATAAATAACATTTACACACAGGACAAAATCATCATAGGTTTTTATCCAAGTAAAAAAGGTAAAGAGGTGCATCTACTATTTCAAATTCCAAAATCGAGCATCTACATATAAGAAATCACCTTGGTTAATTTTTTTCAAGATTATCCCTCTTTAAATAATTGCCAAATCTATATTGGACAGAACAGACACAAACGTGTTTGTGCAAATTATCTTTAAAAACATAGTATGGCTTAAAAGTTATCAATTATTTCCACATCATAATATATGAACATATTTTAGTCATTATTCTGCCTTAACCATTGTTCTTAGTTCGAGTGAACACAAGGTACACCTACTGGCACTATAAATGAAATTACTCTGCCCCAAATAAAAATAGAGTTTTAGGATGCTATTGAAGGAAATTAATTTCTAGGAATTTTGGCAAGGACAATAAACATTAATATAATTCCAGACATAAGATTTGCAGAGTTTATCTCTACCCTTTATATGCTAGAAATTTATTTATTTTAGAAACCTTATCTGACTTGGAGGAAATAGGCACAACTTGCTCCATTCTTTCTATCACACAAAAATATGTCATTTTCAAAAATTAACTTCTTATAAATCCAGTAAACAATTTCTTTAGAAAGGTAAAGTCTAGCCGGGCGTGGTGGCTCATGCCTGTAATCCCAGCACTTTGGGAGGCTGAGGCGGGCGGATCACAACGTCAGGAGATCGAGACCATCCTGGCTAACACGGTGAAACCGTCTCTACTAAAAATACAAAAAATTAGCTGGGCGTGGTGGCGGGCACCTGTAGTCCCAGCTACTCGGGAGGCTGAGGCAGGAAAATGGCATGAACCCAGGAAGTGGAGCTTGCGGTGAGATTGCGCCACTGCACTCCAGCCTGGACGACAGAGTCAGAAAGGTAAAGTCTAACCTCTGCTTTAAGAGATCACAATAAAATTAAAGTTTAAAAATTGCCATCATTAAGAAAAACAAAGAAGTAATTTGTACAAATAAAAATCTAAGTTGCTTGTACAGTGAAAAAAATGAAACATTTTCAATAGAGCAAATCTATTGCTTAACAATCATCCTGAGCTACAAACTAACATGTACATCATCCTGCAAGTCATACCAATTACTCACTTTATTTACATTAATGACAAGTATAACATTTACCAATTACAAATCTACAGGTTTACTTGTTGGTAGTAATTGAGTTTTTCCGATAGGATGTTTTGGAGAACCTTTGTACCAGGCCCTTCCTCTTTCTGATGGTCTCCTAAGGACCCTGTTATTTATCCCAGAAGAAATGCCCATGTTGTTATTTACAACTGGTTTTACTATATCATGATTAGTCAGATCATCCAAGGGAACCTTAACTTGGCCATCAGATAAGATCTTCTGTTTATAAACTGTAGTAGACCTAAGAGAAGCATTCACTGAATCTGGGTGCTTCCTCATCTTTAAGAAAGATTTCGAGGGTAACTCCATGCTTGACTTTGAAATTGCACCAATATTTGACTCTTCACATGACATGGACTTCTGTTCTTTAGGACCTGATTTGATACATGAAACAGAGGAATCTTTTGATGCACTTTCTATACAAGAGGAAAGAGCACCGTCACAGCTCACTGATTTGACCAAAGGAGAAGCTGTATCACCAAGACTCGCCAACTTATGCCCTGTAGGTTGTCTGCTATACTCCAACAAAGAATTAATTCTTCTGACGGACTGACGAACAGGAGTACGCTGAAACTTAAGAGGTGACTTGACTTTTATTCTATTTGGTTCATTTAAAGAAAGCTTGTTAAACCACTGTATGTGATCAGAAACCTTTCTATGTTCTGTCATTTGTGAACTTTCAGAAACTGTTTTCTCACATGTTTCCAATGACTGCTGTTTAGCAATTCTCATAGGCCTAGGTTTTGACAAGTTTGTTACAACACATGTACTCTGCTGTGAGAAAGAGGATCTAGCCTCGTCCTTGCTATGTGCTGCACACTTCGGTAAGTTACCTTCCATCATATTCTCATTCTCTTTTAATTTATTATTTAGTTTATCCTTTGGGGACTGCTGTTTCTTTATTTCTTCATCACTGGAGAATTCTTGCTTGCTTAAATAATCTTTTGGCATATTTGAATGAATGTCTTTTTCATGTTCCATCTTCATCTGAGTTGAATAACATTTTATAGTTGTTTCTCTATTAAATGTTTGAGTTTGAAGGGGTGAAAAGTCCCTCTCTGAAAAACATTTTTCACCTTTACCAGTGTGGTGTTCATATTTCTCCTTTGATTCTACTATAGTCAAATCATTAGTTTCAAATAGATTTTCCTCTGGGCTATCTTCTAAATAAGATGGTTCAGTTAATTTTACTTTCCCCACATTAGTTACTGATGACTGCCTCTGATTCATCAATGCGTGAAGATTACTTCCAGATTCAGAAAACGCTTTTTGAACTTTCACCAAAGTCTCTTTGGTCATGTTATTTTCATCCCCGCTAAGAGGGCTACTTGTTATGTTGCTATTATGCTTATTGTTTAAATTGGAAGGGGTGAGTTCACATGAAGTAGCAGGTGACTTTTCTACCATAATATCAGGCTCCAAAGAGTTTTCTACCTCAAGATTTTCCACCATTGAAGAAGCTTCATTTGCATCTACTTCTTGAAAACTTGAATTATTAGGTCCTGTCCAAGACATCCGGTAATTTGTTCCAACTAGTCGCTCTGGAGTTAGTAAGGTTTCCTCAGACTTACTGATCTTTTCTGAACCTAAAATAAAGCAGTTCAGTGCTTAATCCTTTGTATTTAACCTTGTTTTGAAATAATACCCAAGCACATGGCAAATAAGTCACTAAGCATTTAATTCTAATAAAGTATTTGTGTTACAAGAAATAATTTTTAACATAAGAATGTCAAACATTTTCATATTTACATGTATAAGCATTTCCCAATTGTTGATAGAAAAATACATTGCCAATTCTAATATTTTCACTATTCAAACATGAACTTTTAATCTCTAGAACAGTAAATTAATTAATATGTTTTGCCATTAAAAAAGCAACTAAAGCAGGATTTTTAGGTAAAACTCTAACAGTAGTATGTAAATGTACCTTTCTTTGGTAACTTTTCATCAACATCTGGGCTAAAAAGCAAACCTGTTTTTACAGATTCAATTCGATTTTTTAAACTTTGTTGATTTGCAAGTCGCCAACCAACACTTTCATATCTATTGACACCAGAACATCCATTCTGTACAGAAAAAAAAAAGTTTTAGTTAAGAAATAAGCCTAGTTAATTCAAAATATAAAGACAGAATAATTTTTTGTAGTTATCAAAATCTTTAGCTGATTTAAAAAGGGATATATAATTGAGAAACAATTCTTAACAATGACAAACATTCTTGCCTGCTAATGAAAACTGTAATCATTTGATTTTGCTATTAGTTGATATTTTATGATCTATTTTTAAAACAGTCTCACATATTAATTAAAATAATTTCTGTGTGTGCTCTGACTCTGTGCTAGGGCCTGTTCACAAATAGTTGGGGCAGTGGGGTACCTAGACCAAAATCTTATCCTTATGTAATTTACATTCTATTTAGATGGGGAAATTTAGACTTAAGATAAACAGTAAATTATATTGCATAAATACAATATACAAGGTGAAAAGTGCTACGGAGAAAAGTAAAACAGAGTAAAAAGGATATGGAGTGGTGAAGAATGGAGGTTTAGTTTAAAATAGGGTGATGAGGAGATAATTTGTGAGTAAAACAAAACAAAGGTGAGAGCCATGAAGATTTAAGGGGGAAGAACACTACAGAAAGAGCAGAATGCCAGTGCAGTCTCTGAGACTGGAGCAGAGTGAGCAAGGGGGACTGGAGGAGAGCTCAGAAATGCAGCCTGAGAACAGATCACGTGAGGCCTTTGCAGGTCAACATGAGAACTCTGGCTTTTATTCAGAGTGAAACGAGGAGTCACTGGAGAGTTCTGAGCAGAAAACTACATAACCTAACAGATTTTAAAAGATAAATTTCAACTACAGAACTGCAGCAAGGGTAGGAGAAGGAAGAACTATTAACAGGAGTTTACTAGAGTAATCCAGCTGAGAGATGACAGAACTTAGAGAAAGTGGGAAAAGTAGTAATAGTGAGAACTGGTCAGTTTGGAGATACTCTAAAAGCAGAAGTTAGACAAGATTCTCTAATGGATTAGACATGGTGTCTCAGAGAAAGTGAGGAATCAAGGATTTGACCATGGTTTTTGGCTTAAGTGACTGGAAGAACGATTTGCCATAACTGAGATAGGGAAAACCACAGGTAAAAGTGTTGTTTGGTGCAGGGCATAGCAGCAGCAAAGAAATCCATCTGCTTGGGACAGGTTACATTTGAAATGCCTATTGGATTAGATATCCAAGTAGGAGAGTCAAAAAAGCAGATGTTAAGAGACAGCGGAGTCATTCAGAAGAGCATTTGGGACTAGAGAACATAAACTTGGAAGTTTTAAGTAAATACAGGTTGGGCATTCCAAATCTGAAAAGCCAAAGTTCTGGATGCTCCAAAAATCCAAAGCTTTTAAGTATTTGACATGATGTTCAAAGAAAATGCTCACTGGAGCATTCCAGACTTTCAGATTAGGGATGCTGAACTAGTAAAAATAATGTAAATATTCCAAAATCCCCCCCAAAAATGGGGAATCTGAAATACTTCTGGTCTCAAGCATTCTGGATAAGTGCTACTCAACCTGTATATAATGTTTAAAACTGATGATCACCTTGAGTGAGTGGAGAGAAAAAAGAGAAGTCCAAGGACTAAGCTTTGGGTACTCCAATGCAAGGAAATTTGATATCAACTCAAGTATAAGAGTTTTGGATAAAAAGAACAGAATGAGACAGTCACTGGAAGGAAGGTAGGGCTATGAGTGTTTTTTAGTATCAAGTTTATAGCGTTATGCTAATATAAAGATCAATAAAATGGTAAGAAACTTACTACTTCTCTGCCATTTTTCCCTAGATTGAATTTCAAACGCAGAGATCTTCGAACCTTTTCTTTATGGCTGATTTTAGGAGAAAAGCAGCCTGCTTTTCCTGATTCCACTCTAGAAGAAGTGGAATTAAAAATGTCAGTTTATAGTATAAACACCAGAGAAATACTTGAAATACGAAATTTGAAATAAAGTCCACAGCAAATCATATTGATAATAATTGGATGGATTAATAATTCTTTAAAAACAGTTCAACTTTAAGATACCATACATGAACACACTGCATTTGCATAAAAAATGATCTGCTAATCTTAAAAGTTAGTCAGTCAGTTATAACTCAGAATTGTTAGAATAGGCTAGCTTTTTAACCTAACAGGAATTTTTTTCTTTGTTTTTTATTTTTTGAGACAGGGTCTCACTCTGCGGCCCAGGCTGGAGTATAATGGCATAATCACTGCTCACTGTAGCCTTGACATCCCTGGGCTCAGATGATCCTCTCACCTCAGCCTCCCAGGTAGCTGGGACTACAGGCATGTGGCACCATGCCTGGCTAATTTTTGTACTTTTTAGTAGAGATGAGGTTTTGCCATGTTGCCCAGGCTGGTCTTGAACTCCTGAGCTCAAGTGCTCCACCCACCTCAGCCTCCCTAAGTGCTAGGATTACAGGCATAAGCCACCGTGCCCAGCCTCTAACAGGAAATTTTAAAATTACACCATCAACATAAAATAGGATTTTAAGCAAGCAAAGCGGACTCAAATTAGTAATTTTTCTCTGGTGGGTATTGAAAAGGCAATTGATTAATAAGACTATAAAGGCAGAAGGGATTTTAAAAAATTATGACTCAAATATGATGCTTGACAGAAAGACAAAACATTTTATTAATTATGTGTACACCAAATATTTATCCGATGAAAACAAAATGTCCTGGATAAAGTACCTGCAAACTTTTTTGCCTGCAATTCTTTTACTTCGCCTTGGCACACCTGCAGTGATCAAATGGTTTCCACCAATGAGTACAGGAGAGAGTGAACTCTGAGATGACCCTTCTGAGCTTGTATCGATGTGAACTACAAAAATAACCACATGTAATATACCACACATATCTATTTTCCTTTTAAAGTATAAAATAGTAATAGCAGCAATTAGATTCAAAGCCTTAATTTCTATCCCAAGCAACAACCGAAATCACTTAATTTCTGGTTAGAAACTTCAAGTGTCAAATAACCCAACTCAGCTAAGAAAAAGCATTCATTTTTTACTTTTGACTTGCCAATTAAAGGTCAGCTTAAGCATTACTTTTATATTAGAGCTTTTCTTTAAACTCTGTTAATAATACAAGGCAGGGATAGGCACCATTGCAGACTGGAAAAAGAACAAGATTTGGAGACAGGCTTGAGTTTGCTCCATCACTTACTAAATGGCTTTAGGCTCTGAAAACGGACTTCTATGATGAATATTACTGTTATCTATATAAAATATTTAGTCAGTATCTAGTACATAATACCAATTAATGGTATTATAAAAAATAAGCTATTGGCAAACAAGTTGGAATCTGAGTATTTGAGATATACCTGCTGGCCAACTGCTACCCACCTGACTCCGGAATGTAATTTGTTCAATATTTTTGGCAAGTAAACAAAAACTAATTATTCTATAACACATTCCTAATCCCTTGGCTGCTGCTGTGTTCCATGCAAATAATTACTGGTACAACAGAAGCTCAATTATTTAACACCATTTATATTATGAAATCAACTATAGTAAACAATTACGAAAGAAGTAAAATAGTTATGAACAAAGGCTCCATATACATTTATGTTTGAATCACGCCCAGGACACATTCAACAAACATGAACCCTCTCAATTCATCTGAGTTATTAATAAAGAATTCACAAAGTTTCCCAGAGACATTCACATTTTTTCAATTATGAAAACGGAAAAAATACAACCACCTTAGAAACTTTTGGGTGCATTTAGCTAAAGAAAATTTTGGAAGCCAATATTATACATCTAAAGTGACATAAGTAGCTTTATTCTAGGGCTGCAGTCTAGTCACTTTAAAAATGTGTCCGGCCAGGCACCGTGACTCACGTCTGTAATCCCAGTATTTTGGGAGGCTGAGGTGGGCGGATTGCTTGAGGCCAGGAGTTCAAACCAGCCTGGCCAACATGGTGAAATCCCATCTCTACTAAAAATACAAAAATTAGCTGGGTGTGGTGGTGCATGCCTGTAATCCCAACTACTCAGGAGGCTGAGGCACAAGAATCACTTGAACATCGGAGGTGGATGTTGTAGTGAGCCAAGATCATGCCACTGTACTCCAGCCTGGGAGACAGAGCGAGACTCCGTCTCAAAAAATAAAAATAAAAAATGTGTCAATGGTCGCAGGAGGCACAGTCAGAATATATGGAACAATGCAAATTTATCACATCTGTAAGAAAATTATGGCCAGGCATGGTGGCTCACACCTGTAATCCCAGCACTTTGGAAGACCAAGGCAGGTTGATCAGCTAATGTCGGGAGTTCAAGACCAGCCTGGCCAACGTGGTGAAACCCCGTCTCTACTAAAAATGCAAAAGAAAATTAGCCAGGTGTGGTGGTGGCCACCTATAATCCCAGCTACCTGGGAGGCTGAGGCAGGAAAATCGCTTGAACCTGAGAGGTGGTGGCTGCAGTGAGCCGAGATTGTGCCATTGCACTCTAGCCTGGGCAACAAGAGCAAAACTCTGTCTCAAAAAAAAAAAAAAGAGACAATTATGAATAGATACTCTATGGACTACAGACTAATGTTGCCTTTATATATTTTTAAAAGCATCATATTTGTTATAATCTAAACTTAGAAATCAATCTATTTTCAATTTTGCAAATGGAATTTGTTGAATTGTGGCTGAGAAAGTAGGGTCAAAGAAAAGTGGTGTAAAAATAATACGATTACTATTGTTGAACTTTTAAATTTTTTTATAAAAAAATTCATTGATTAGGCAAGCTCAAACTAAAAATAGCACAAGACTGTTTAACCTCTGTTTTGGGAGCTTGGAGGAGGAGAAGAAGGAATCAGTATGTTCATTCCTTGGGGAAAATGTAATGCTAATAAGCAAAGGCAGGTAGAACTACAACTCCCATTTGCCATTTGGAAAAAGTCCTCCAAACTGCAAAGGATATATTCAAAAAAAAAAACAACTGAACTATGTTACTTAAAAAAGTTTAAGTCTCCAACCTGTGAACACTGCAAAAGCTACAGACATAAGCTTCAGAGTTACTATCATCACATTTCAATGAGCCCTAGAGAACCTGTGAAGAAGTGTTTTTTTCTGGAAAACCTCAAGTTGCTATTCTGTTCAACTTCTCAATAAAACAAATAAGAACCCTTTTGGACAACAGAAAAAAGAGACAGGCTTTGGGAAGGAACTCATATAACTCAGATAATGAATCAAAAATGAAACTTAACATTGTCTGAAACCAACAAAATAAAAAATCTAAAATAATCAGAGATCACTCACATTTTGACTAAATGTAAGATAAATGAGATGGAGGACCCTGGGCTTAGAGTTTCATTTCATTTTTGGTTGATCGTAAGGTTAATATGAGCCAACTTGAATTCTGTATATGCTAAAAGAGCCAATTGAATCTAAGACCCAGACTAATCTCCGGATTAGCATGATCATACTCTATTACTCTCTGAAGGCTCTGGTTGGCCACATTAGAACTTGTAGTTAATATGGAAGAAAATGGCTGGGCTGGTAAGGGATCTGGAAGCCATGGCACAAGGAACAGCGTCAACAAAGTTCTAAAGCTTTTACAAAAGGTACTTGAGTCTAAAACTTTAAAAATACCCTCATTTTCAAACCATAACCTGCAATAGTAACGCTCCCACTTGGGAATCAGACATGATCAAACATCTGGCAACCTCAATTCAACAAATGACAGCAATAAAGCCACAGCTATAGACCCAGATGTAACTATAGCAGGATTCAGGATGTCTAATCACATAAAACCTAAGCATCAATGCTATCACCAGAAGCCCAAACTACTACTCTGGGTTATCACAACTTTCAATAGATGTTGTCATAACACACACACACACACACACACACACACACACACTATATTGAAACAGTGTCTATTTTAAAAGGCAGGGGGTTTTATAAAAATTCATAGGTTGGATAAAACAGAATAAAGTTCTAGTTCCTAAGGGTGGTATTATTAATATGAAATTGCACTGTGCCCAGAATAGGCACTCATTTTAATCTTTACAATCCATTTATATAAATTCTATTTGCTACCTGATACCGGTGTAGAACTGCTATTGAAGAGATTACTTGGCAACAGCTCAAAGTTAAAATTGTGCTTGATGGACTTCCTTTTCTTACTTGAGAAACCATGAGAAGAATCTACTGGCAATGTACGCTTAGCATTTGGTGTAAGAATCACTGGTGATTCAGATAGCTGGGCTGAAAAAATATCAAAACAAAACCAACTTGTTTCTACTGCAGAGTTGACAACATATAAAAGCTTTACATAATTTCTTCTTATAAAGCTATTACTTAGAGCTAAACAAAAAATGAGAATATATTTACATCATCAGTTAAGTAGATGTTGTTTAACTAAAACACTCTGCAATTACTTAAATGAAAATAAGGAAGTCGCAGAGGCAAGACTCTTAAGAGACAGCAGTTACTTAAATCTAACAGACTAAAAGATGCATATGATATACATTAAAGAATATTAATGTAAGGAAGAAATTACAATCAAGGAGTTGAAACAAAAACTAATCTAAATATTATTTTTGCTTTTCATCATAAGTGAGTATTAACCAGTTCATTTCTTCACTCTAGAAAACAGAAGATCATGTTGACTCTTACTGGCTGAATAATTTCAGCCACAAGCAAATTAGAATAAAAAATTGAAATATACAATAATGAACTTCTAGTCCTAAGATAAAAATGAGGTTGAACTATTTTCACACGCTTAATAGCATCTAAATTACAAACAGAAAAGCATGATTAAGAAGATTAAAGACAGGAGACTAAAAAAATTTTTGCCTACAATTTTGGGTTCATTATAGCCTATGTAATTAGCAATGTCACAACATAGTGTGTATAGTACAGTATGACTATTAAAAATAATATTTGATTTGATTAAACTAAATTTGATTACTAAGTTAGGTAATTATTATTGTAATTGTATTTTATAGAATACTATACAAATTTTAATTTAAATAAATGCATATAATAAATACCTACCAATTCTTTCTTCTTGAGGTGTAATAGAAGGTGTTCTGTTAGGTTTAAATTTATTTAGTGCTCCACTAACAAAATCTGAAATGCAAGGCATAAGCAATTACAACTTCACATTTACTTGTCTTTCACCAATAATTCATATTAATATTTGCAGTCTTCTTTCAACATGTAACTTTACATCGGCTTATAAATTTTAAGTTATTTAAGAGGAATTATTTCAAAATAGGAAAAATACTAAAGGATATATTTTTATTCCATTCCCCACTTATACTTCCATATCCCTAAAATAAAAAAGACACAATACAGAAAGAAATGTAATACAAATACATATAATGTACAGTAAGGGTAGGGAAAAAGAAATCATTACATGTTAAGGCAAAAGATGAAGGTCTGAACTGAGGCAAGAACCATGGAAATGGAGGCACGAATAAAAGTATTTAAAAGATCAGTAGAGATGGAAGTAAAAACATTATATCAATAAATAGTGTAAGCAAATGAATAAAAGTGTCTGGAAAATAAATAACATAGTTTGACTAAAGTTGCTCAAAGACAGGAAATAGTAGACAGGTATGCTAGAGCAATCCTATGAAAGACCTTTAATGCCAAGCTATAAATATCCCTATTACCAATTAAAATTTCTGAAGGGTATGTGTGTGAGATACTTGAGTAGAGTTATACATTTAAAATGTAAGCCTTGGCCAGGTGCAGTGGCTCACACCTGTAATCCTAGCATTTTGGGAGGCCAAGGCAAGCAGATTACTTGATGTCAGGAGTTAGAGACCAGCCTGGCCAACACAGTGAAACCCCCTTTCTACTAAATATACAAAAATTAGCCAGGCGTGGTAGCGTGCACCTGTAATCCCAGCTACTTGGGAGACTGAGGCAAGAGAATCGCTTGAACCCAGGAGGTGGAGATTGCAGTGAACCAAGGTAGCATCACTGCACCCCAGCCTGGGTGACAAAGACAGACTCCATCTCAAAAAAAAAAAAAAAAAGTGAGCCTTAATAGCAATATGTAGGGTAGATTCAAGGAGGAGGCATAAAGACCAAGAAGATTCTTTTTTTAATTTTTATTTTTGAGACGGAGTCTCGCTATGTTGCCCAGGCTGGAGTGCAGTGGCCCGATCTCAGCCAACTACAACCTCCGCCTCCCAGGTTCACACCATTCTCCTGCCTCAGCCTCCCAAGTAGCTGGGACTACAGGCGCCCGCCACCACGCCCAGCTAATTTTTTATATTCTTAGTAGAGACGGGGTTTCACTGTGTTAGCTAGGATGGTCTCGATCTCCTGACCTCATGATCCGCCCACCTTGGCCTCCCAAAGTGCTGGAATTACAGGCGTAAGCCATCGCGCCCGGCCAAGAAGATTCTTACAGTAACAATGCAATAAACACTACGGAGATAGAATCTTATATGACATGAAAACTGTCTGATTATAGATGGTAGAGGAAGAGGTAGAACCCATGGTTAAAGCCTGAGTATCTAGGGAATAGTGGTGCTGTTAGAAGAAAATGGAATTCACACAGAACCAGGATAAAGAGGATAAAGATGGTCATTTCAAAACGTTAAGCTTAAAGCACCAATGAAAAGCAGATGTGATGAGGTCTCCCTAGCAAGCCATTAGTAAAGTGGAACTGACATTTTCAAGATAACGGTGGTACAGATGTGGTGGTTATCTATTTAGATGTGATAACTGAAACTACAGGACTGGTGATAACTGAAACTACAGGACTGGGAAAGAGGGCAATAAAGATGATCTGCATCTGAGAAATATCTCCATTGGGGATAGGAAGTTTTATGGGTTGCATTGTGTTCTCCAAAAAACCTATGTTTAAGTCCTAACCCCCAGTTCCTATGAAGGTGACCATACTTGGAATTCGTGTCTTTACAGATGTACTCGAGTTAAAATGAGGTCATTTGGGTGGGCCCTAATCCAATGTGCCCTGTAAGAGGGAAGTTCTGACACAGAGCAACATCATAGGATGACATAGGCAGGGATTGGAGTGACGCGGCTGCAAGCCAAGGAATGCTAAGGACTGACAGCCACTACCAGGAGCCAGGAAGAGGCAAGAAAGGATTCTCCCCTGCAGGTTTCAGGCATTCTGCCAACACCTTGATTTCAGACTTCTAGCCTCCAGAACGGTGAGACAAATTTCTGTTGATTTAAGCCACCTAGTTTGTAGTACTTTGCTACAGTAGCCCTAGGAAAATCATACATAAGTCATCAGTATTATCCTATCTACAAAGGAGGTAAAGAAGAAACACAAGTATGCAATAACAAATAAACCAAAAGATGAAAAAGGGATTGGGATAGTTAGTAACATTTGGTTCTGATATTCAAAAGATAATAAATTTCCTAAAGTAATTGGAAGAATAATGGCCTCTGACTTCTTGATCAAGGAGATTGCAAGTTTTATTACCAACTCTACCATCTTATGATGGTCTTTTGGTCTTTCTGATTCTTCCTTGATAATATTTCCTTCATTATTTAGTTCGTACTCCTAACTAATCCATGTCACTAACAAGTTCAAACAATAATCTGATGCCTGGACTACTGACACACATTGCTGACCATTCTCCCTACTTCCAAGTCTCAATTCTTCAAATCAGGTAATTTTCTAAAATTTTTAAATCATATCATGCCTCACATCATAAATCTTCAATGATTCACCAACACCCAGGTTAATATTCTAATTCTTTAGCCTGGCATTAAGTTTACCATAATACCATCCTTTATCCTTATGCTGAACACTTCACTCAAGTCATACTGCACTATCTACATTAGACATAGGTTACTTCTTCCCTACACAAACCTTTCTTCATAGCATCCTTCTCATCTAGAATAGGATACAAGTATTCTGATCCTCCACCCAATCCCACTAAATTCTATCCATTATTCAAGAAGGTTCAGTTTGGCTCCTCTTTGACAAGTCCCTGATAATTACAATCCAGGGAACTTTTCTCCTTTTAACACATTTTATGTTTGTGCTAAAGATGTAGCACTTAACATTAGATTGTACTATCGCTTTAACTTTTTACACGCATACGTCCTATCTTTCCAGCTGTGCTTTAAGCACCAAAAAGGCACATACCACAGTTCATGCTTCTTTATGTGAAATGTACTTTCGATTAAAGCAAATCACTGTACCTCCATAAAATGGGACCGCCACTTACCTCCTACACTTTGTCTTCTCTTTCTCTTATATTCACCAGGAGTTTCATATTCACCTTCTTCAAAGCCTTCCAGTGATGGAGTAGCACAGAGACCATCAATACCCAACATGGCTGGTATCTTTTCCAGGATAAAATCTGGTACACGCCCTAAATGAAAATGTTCACAAGTAAGACAATTATTATCCTTCCTCCACTCTTCCCCAAAAATGTTTAGATACTAATATACCAATTTCTTTTCTTTTTTTCTTTGCAGGAGGGGCCGGTACTGTAGGGTGGGGGTGAGGTCAGTAATATACCAACTTTCTAACAGTTGCCTTCATAGTTCCTTTGAAAGAAACAGAGATTTTCCTCATTTAAACAAATTCTGTTAATAATGCAACTACATCTTACCAATATCTGATGCATAATCGATAAGAGTCTGTACTACTGCAGCCTGTAATCGTAGCTTCTTTTCTGTGTTAGAAGACATCTTTTCATGTCCTTCACTTGTCTGAAGAAGATTCGGTGCAAATATTACTGCAAGATTGCTGCTGTCCATCTTATTCTCACTGGATCTTAAGTGAATAAACGCTTTATTAGATGGAGCCAAACGTGAAAATACAGAAGAGTTAAAATAACGTATGTAGTACATTTTGAAGACCTTATTATCAGTCATACACAAGTCAAAATAGTTACCCTTCATCTACATGATTGGCTTGAACACAAGAAAGAACCAGAAATATATAGCCTCTCTATATTTAAATATGTATTCTAAAAACCATGCTAATCTTAGAGTTCATACTTTGCTTTTCCACACAAATTGAACATCTTTATCTGATTTTCAGACCTACACATAAAAAGTTGGAAGTATCAGAAGGCAGCAAGTATGTCTAGAATAAGCAGGCTCACTGACAGCAGGGAGAGGGAAATTTTGAAAAGCAAAACAGAAATATTTTAAAAACCCAGTAAACAAAGGCTTTCAGTGGACAATGAATCTTATAAACACCAATGAACCATTAAGGCATTCATGATGATGACTTTAAGATAAGGAAATATTAAATCATTTGGTATGCTGTTTCTTAAATTGGAGTATACTCCTCATAGTAATGAAATATGGAATTTTTAAAGAAAAATTTCCATTCCAAATGAAATTGTACATATCTACAAGCATAAAACGTTAGTTGAAAAATTCAACTATTATTTGCCAAGAGTTTTAATTACCACTTACCTAAGAGAAACATTCCTGAGAAAGTTAAAGAAGTATCTTAATACATGAACTGTGTGGTCAGCCAGAAGACAGGAGAGCAACAGTGTAGCTTTATTCTTTTCCTCTGTGCCTAACTGTTGAGCTTTCAAAAGTGCTTCATGCAAATCAGCTGGGAGAATGGGCTCTGGCAGTTCCCTAAAAAACTGCTTAAGAAGTCCCGCAATATCACAAGGAGGTGCAGAAGATAGGCAACCTTCACCATGATCCACTTTATTCTGAAATAAATATAATAATCTTGAGTATTTTGGCAACTTAAGAGTTTATTGCAAATAAAGTATCTTTTGTTATACTCTAATTACACTTTTCTTTAATAAATTTCTCTTAACTCTTATTTTAATATATGTCACTACTTTATTTTTAATGATTTTTGAATTTATTTTTATTTTTATAGAAATGTGGCACAGACTATGTGGCCTGGGCTGGCTTCAAACTCCCAGGCTCAAGCAATCTTCCTGCCTTAGCCTCCCAAGTAGCTGGGACTACAAGCATGTGCCACCACACTCAGCTCTATCACTCCTTCTAGAAGGCTAACAACAATATAACTTAACACATTTTTTTCATTTTACATAATACTTGATAGAAATAAGGACCATGAATTTAAAAGTACCCTATTAAATTTTTAAAGCATGATAGAAATAATATACCATTTCTTTTGGAAAAAAAAAATCTTCTGCCATGAAAAAAATGCAAATTCAATTTCTGTCAACTATTCATATTAATAGTTCTAAATATTTCAGTTTTAAAAACCAAATCAGAAAATGGCTCAAATGAAAAATTAATAGTTCAACAATATGCTCACCTTTAGTGCTTTTAGGCGAATCACAGATCCTGATTTCCGAAAAAGCCCTTCGGTATGAATATGGTCTTCTAAAGATGTGCAAGCATCGACAAGAAAGCTGAAAGAGAGATTTTTTCAGGTGGCTAGACATACATATCACATCCTATTCCTCTGCTAACATACATGAGCAGGCCAAGCACTACGTACCTTTCAGAGGCTCTAAAGCCACAAATCTCTGTAGTCTTTGAGATGAAATGTTACTTTTAGTTGTCTACTGGCTTCCCAAATTCTTCTCCAAGGCCCATCTTTTTACTTCTAACAACTCCAATGTGCACACTAAATTTTATCTTTCTCAATCCTACTTCATTTCTGCTTCCCTTCAGAGCGTAAGACTTGTCTTTTTTTTCTGCCTCTACTTCTTCATATCTCAGTCTCTACTCACCCCTATCCAATCATTCTCATACCTCATTACTCCAAAGAAATAGCTCTCTTCAAGCTCACTAACAGCCTCTGCCTTGCCAAATCCATGGTCAGTGTGTTGTCCTCGTATTGCTCGATCTATCACCATTTGACACACCTGATCCCTTCCCTGTTCATCTCAAAAATACTTTTTCACTACTCTTTTAGTTTTCCTGCTATCTCCCTGCCTGCTCCTTCTCAAATTCCTTTTCTCACTCCTCTTATGTGAAACCTCTACATGCTGGAACAACCCAGGGCTCTGTCCAAGGCCACCTTCTTTTATCTACTATCTCTTCATGGGTGATTTTCTCATCTCCTACATCACCCAAAAACAGGGCGAGGTTTTTTTTTCCTCACCCCAACATTATCCCTCAGAAAAGTAGGATATATCCCAGTCCTTACAAGCCTTTTCATATTAAGGGGAATGTGCTCAATTTCTTTATTTTGAACAATGTTCAAATAAATCTCAATGTTGGCTTTAGATACCTAGATATTGAACAGCTGGGACCCACAAATTAGAATGAATATCGGCTACCAACAATTGATACAGCTGTATTGGTGCACAGTGGCTGAATGTCAGCCTTATTTACAGAAGGTAACTGACAAAACAGTCTTTTTAATTAAATAAAAAGTAGGTCATGAAATTACAATGAAGATATAGTCATGATTCCTGGGAATATGACTTTGCAATTCCAGACGCCGAAAATCTGCTTTTTTTTTTCTTTTAGTTTTTATTTTGAGACAGGGTCTCGCTCTGTCACCCAGGCTGGAGTGGTGCGATCACTGCTCACTGCAACCTTTGCCTCCTGGGCGCAAGTGATCCTCCCACCTCAGCCTCCCGACTAGCTGGGACTATAGGCACACATCACTACGCCCAGCTAATTTTTCTATTTTTTGTAGAGACAAGATTTCACCATGTTGCCCAGGCTTGTCTTGAACTCCTGGGCTCAAGCAATCCACCACCTGGGCCTCCCTAAGTGCTGGCATAACAGGCATGAGCTCCTGTGCCCGGCCTGTTGAAAATCATTATAGGTGTTCATTATAAGAAAATCAAGCCTTTCATAGGTCATTTAAAGAGCAAAATGGTTAAGCGGTTACCTAAGAAGACAGTGAATCTACACCTATAGGATGAATGGGGGGAAACTGTCCTAAGGCAACCAGGTGTTCGATAATTGCTTTTGGATGACATGTCAATTAAAACCTAGATTATTGGTCTATAGTAGCCCAAATGAACCCTACTTTAGATGGAGGGGAAATGAATTAAGGATAAGTTTCACCATATGCATTTTTAGATTACATTCTTTTTTTTTCTTTTTTTTTTTTTTTTTTGAGACGGAGTCTCACTCTGTCGCCCAGGCTGGAGTGCAGTGGTACAATTTTGGCTCACTGCAAGCTCCGCCTCCTGGCATGCCATTCCCCTGCCTCAGCCTCCCGAGTAGCTGGAACTACAGGTGCGTGCTACCACACTCAGCTAATGTTTTGTATTTTTAGTAGAGACGGGGTTTCACTGTGTTAGCCAGGAAGGTCTGGATCTCCTGACCTCGTAATCTGCCCGCCTCGGCCTCCCAAAGTGCTGGGATTACAGGCGTGAGCCCCGGCGCCCGGCTAAATTATATTCTTAAAACATAAACTTTCCTAGTAAGTTCTGATGCAGTTAGAATAGGCCAGCACAGTGGCTCACGCCTGTAATCCTAGCACTTTGGGAGGCTGAAGCGAGTAGATCACCTGATGGTCAGGAGTTTGAGACCAGACTGGACCACATGGTGATACACCCCATCTCTACTAAAATACAAAAATTAGCTAAGTGTGGTGGTGGACACCTGTAATCCCAGCTACTCCGGAGGCTGAGGCAGGAGAATCACTTGAACCCAGGAGGTGAAGGTTGCGGTGAGCCGAGCTCACGCCATTGCACTCCAGCCTGGGCGACAAGAGTGAAACTCTTGTCTCAAAAAAAAAAAAAAAAAAAAAAAGAATAAAAGGTTATTTATAAATAGTAAGTGGCATAGAAAAGCTAAGTGATACATTTTCACAAACACTCTAATATCTTAGCTTAAATATTCTTTTATCCAATATTTGTTTTCAAGAGACATGGTCTCACTCTGTTGCCAATGCTGGAGTGCAGTGGCAATGAGCATAGCTCACTGCAGCCTCAAACTCCTAGGGTCAAACAATCCTCTGCCTCAGCTTCAGAGGTAGCTGGGACTACAGGTGCACACCACCTTGCCCAGCTGATTTTTCTTTAAAATTTTTTTTATACATGGAGTCTTGCTTTGTTGCCCAGACTGGTCTCAAAATCCTGGGCTCAAGCGATCCTCCTGCCTCGGCCCTCAAAATGCTGGGATTATAGGCATGAGCTACTGTGCCTGGCCAATATTTTTTTAACAAACAAAAAAAAGTCAAAATTATTACTGAATTGGTAAGTCAGTATATTACTTAATCTGAGTTGTGGCAAAAGAATTCACATAGAACTGAAAACTGACTTAACAGAACAAAAATTTTTTGTGATTTCTAACATTTACTCATTACTGGACTTTAAAATTCAATCCTGGGAATGAGTACAAATTATAAATTTAAAATATGTAAAAGTTAAAAAAATATTTTTAACATTATGAGAGATTAAATCATTTGCTGGTTTGAAACAATTATGTTTTAATCAACTATTTCTTTTAAACTCTCTAAAACCAGTTTGAAATGCTTACTCTCTTCTTCTTCATTTCCCTGGCTAGAAGGCTCACTGCAGCCTCCACCTCCTGGGCTCAAGCAATCCTCCCACCCCAGGCCCCTGAGTAGCTGGGACTACAAGTGTGCTCCGCCAAGCTAATTTTTCTATCTTTTGCGACAAGTTCTCACCATGTTGCCCAGGCTGGTCTTAAGCTCCTGGACTCAAGTGATTTGCCCACCTCGGCCTCTCAAAATGCTGGGGTTACAGGCATATGCCACTGCACCCGGCCTTCTTCATTTCAAACTCTGCTTACCTTGGAATGTGTCCATATTCTGGTACAGCAGAATGGGGCAGTGCATTAAAAGGTACTCCAAATATTTTACCCTAAAATGACAAATTCAGTTACTCTAACACAAATATTAGGCATAATATCAGTTTTCTTAAACTTTAGGCAAATTAAAGAACTCAGGAAATTAAAAAAAAATCAGAAATAAATGATAAACTATCTATCAAGACAAAAATAATCATTTCAAGTGCATTTGATAACAAATAATTACTATATTAGACAGTATGCTGAGTGCTGGGAGTACAAAGATGGCCAAGATAATGTCATTCCCCTCAAATAATCTAGTAAACTCAAGTTTCCAATCTGATCATAAAGTCAATTTGGTTAGTGGTTAGTCAGTAAATTCTTAAAACAGAATTTGGTCCAAAACACTAACATTTACCCCAAAATACTATAGGTTGCTTTAATGACCTTATAAATACTTACTAGATACTTTCTTTTGGTCACCTTATAAATACTTACACAAAAGACTAAGTCAATTGAAAAGCAAAACACTAATTCCTGTCATTCATTGAGTCTTCCTAAAATTACATCAGAAGAAGTTATTTTTATACCTAATACATTTTCCACCTTCTATAGAAGAGTGCTTTTCAAACCATGCCCTGCAGTAAGCAAGGCAGGAGTGTGCAAATATTTAAGTCAAACTTCATTTAACTAGCTGGAAACCCATTTTTAAAACCTCACATTCAAATTTTAATACACTGAAGATCCCAAGAGTAAAGCTGTGTGTTGGTTAACTTGAATGTTTTTGCACACTGAAGAATAAAGAATCTGCCACTATCTTTGTGCATGCATTCGAACCTCTTAAAAATGTGTCGCTTTCCACAGCACTGAAAGGTAAATTCAAGCCTGTAAATGTCTGGTTATTCAAACTTAAGTGGGTATGCATAATCTCACATGTTAATTTAGTTTACATGCATCTGCTCTGTGAATGCTGAAGTACTTTTTTTGATGTCACAAGTTATCAACCAAGAAGTATTTATGTTTTATGAGCATTATATTTAACTTTATATTTACAATAAAAACCACTCAGCATTGTCAATGACGCAACACAGTAACAAAATTTTACTAATTCCCTTTCAAGCACCTGGCTCCAATTAATTTACAAATATTGTAAGCTGAAAAGACAGTATAGTATAGTAAGTGCTTAAGAGAGTAGGCTCCTGAAGGCAAAAATGACAGGTGTATTTTTTTTGAGAGGGAGTCTCACTTTGTGGCCCAGGCTGGAGTGCAGTGGCGCAATCTCGGCTCACTGCAAGCTCCGCCTCCCGGGTTCACCCATTCTCCTGCCTCAGCTTCCCGAGTAGCTGGGACTACAGGCGCCCGCCACCACACCTGGCTAATTTTTTTGTATTTTTAGTAGAGACGTGGGGCGGGGGGGGGGGGGTTTCACCGTGTTAGCTAGGATGGTCTCGATCTCCTGACCTCGTTATCCACCCGCCTCGGCCTCCCAAAATGCTGGGATTACAGGCGTGAGCCATCGCACACACAAAAATGCCAGGCTTTACATCTTAACTCTTGCTTAACAGCTGAGTGACCTGGATCAAATTAACATTCTGTTCCTCGGTATCCTCACACAGATCCTAAGTCATAGAGGTGTAGGAAGAATTAAATAAATTAAAACATACAAAACACTTGTATCAGTGTCTGACACACAGTAAGCATTCAAAAAATATTTGTTAATATTATGATCATCATTTTAAGCTGAACTATTTTAAAAAATGTTAGTATGGGCAACCCCTTTATTGGGTAAATCAGAATTTTCTTGATACTGTGCAGCCAAACCAAATGTAAAAATAAACCAGATACTTAAGCTGGTAAGTCTACTTCTGCTATATATAACTAGAATTCAGCGTGTTTTTTTCCTTAAGTCTTATTATTTAGAATAACTGGCCTCACAAGTAACCACTATAATTTAATCTCATAAAATGTTTTTAAAACTTAAAACTACAGTTAGCTAACAAACACCAGTCGGCTAAAGAAATTGTTTTCAAACAAACTATCCCATTAGATCTCCTAACACAATGATCTTCTATATTTCTTCATTAGAATATTCTTATAAGTGTTTCTAGCTGAATTTATATGGCATGATTACCAATTAGGAGGCAGACCAATGATATGACAACTATCATTAGATGAAGAAGTGGCATGTTACCCGCACTGTGCTAGGCCTACATAAAGAGCTTCACTTTTTAAAAATCCCTAAATAATCCAAGGAGAAATACGTTCCCACTTTATATATATAAAACTGAAGCTTAGGGAAATCAAACAAGCAGCCCAAGTTTACAGATGTAGTAGGGGTGGAACAGCACTCAAACTCAGGTCTATCTGACTCTGAAAACAGGCAACAGTTTTTCTTGTTAAGCGGTGAAAAGGCCGAGTGCAGTGGCTCACGCCTGCCATCCCACCACTTTGGGAGGCCGAGGCGGGCGGATCACGAGGGCAGGAGATCGAGACCATCCTGGCTAACACGGTGAAATCCCGTCTCTACTAAAAAATACAAAAAATTAGCCAGGTGTGGTGGCGGGCGCCTGTAGTCCCAGCTACTCGGGAAGCTGAGGCAGGAGAATGGCGTGAACCCGGGAGGCAGAGCTTGCAGTGAGCCAAGATCGCGCCACTGCACTCCAGCCTGGGCGACAGAGGGAGACTCCATCTCAAAAAAAAAAAAAAAAAAGGAAAAGAAAAGAAAAGGGGTGAAAAAAAGTCCATATACAAACTCTTCCATATACTTACAAAATCAGCTACATTTGAGATCTTGGAAAGCCAGTTTTACAATCAGAAAAAAATCACTGTAGCTTTTTAAATGTAAGTACATGTATTGCCATTAATTTGCTACCAACAAAAATAACTTCTCCAAAGTTTATCAGCGATTAAGAGGCACACATATTACTTTTGTTAGTGGTTTTCTTCTCCAAGCACTTTTTTTAAGAAACCATAAACTATTAAAAGCAACGTATATTAATTTTATTAGCTTGTCTCCAAGTACTAGGAAGTACCATATAAATTAGGCACATAAATTTAAAATAAAATGCTTTACATTCAGCTTATTTTTCACAATGGAATTCCTGATTATGTGGCAGAGCTATTAAAATCTCATTCAAAATCCCTTTATTTCAACCACCAAAACATCAACAACTTCTCAATTATTCCACTCTGGCTTCTCAATTTACTCATACAAAAAAAAATTTACTGTCCCAAAAGTATGACATGGCCAAGCAGCAAATCTGTTTCCCAAATTAGTGAATATGCAGTCATCATTTGAAGCCTATTTCTAATGTTCTGTCATACTTCTTCATCTACAGATTCATGTAGAAAATGCACTGGTCTCCCTTGTCCCTCTACAACCTTACTCTAAAACAAGGGTGGAGGGGTAGAGTTTTTGTCCCTCCCAACGTACTACCTGTTCCAAATACAGTAAGCTGGCAATATCCGGAGACATTTTTAATTGTCACAACTGAGAGATGCTACCAGCATCTAGTGGGTAAAAGACAGACATCCCGCTAAACATCCCACAATTCACAGAACAGCATTTCGTCTTCCCCTAACAAAAATTATCTAATCCAAAATGTCAATAGTGCTGAAGTTGGAAAATCCTGCAACTTTCTCTCAATGATCAAAAATCCTTGGGGGAAAAAAAACAAGAATGTCACTTTTTAAATATCAGCAATCGACCATCTGAACTGAATTACACACCTAACCATTCTTTTTGATACACAGAGTGAACATTTTAGCACGATCTGGTAGTAAGTGATGATAAAGGGTGTGCCCTTTCTTTTAAACCTAAATCCCTTTTCACAGAACTTACCCCTATTTCCGTGGCTGCTGTTTCATGTCTCCTGCGATCGCACTGCCCACGGACACCCTTCACCTTAATACCATAGAAGGCCCGCAGATGCTGCAACAGGGCCAACCTCACCAGCCTCTGATCCCACATTCCGGATACGTCGATAACTCTCTGAGGCAGGATGCAGGTCCTGACCCTCGTTCGCCACCAAGTCTTCCAATTTCCAAACGCTCTCAAATTTGAACTCCGCTCGGCTGCTTTCCGGCCCCGTCTGGCACTTCTGCGGCCCCGACCCCCGGCCACTTCCACGGCTTTTCCTTGATCCTCACTCACATCCACTTACACAGACCCGCTTCTCTTAGCCCTTTGATCCAGCCACACCTCACTCTTCCTTCACTTACACCGACCTTCTTTCTGGTCACCCAATGCTTTCAGCTACTCACATAGACTTCTTTCTGATTCTTTCGGTTTCTCGTCTATTGCCAGATTCTCTCCACTTCTTGCTACTTCCAACGATCCCCCTTCCTCCAAACCTTACTGTCCCCGTCTGGTTCGCTCTGAAATGTGAAGAAAACCCTTCTCGCTCCTCCAGCCCCAGCAGGCTCAACTGGGCGCTCGCCCCCGCCCTAGCCTGGCCGCCGGACCAGCCGGCTGCTCAGGCAACTCTTCCAGTCCCGGTGCCCGCCCGGGCTGGTAGCCGCCGTCACCCCGTCTCACAGGCTGCTCGTTCCCTCCCCCATCAGCCTGCCTCTACCTCCCGGCCTGCACATCCCGGTGCGTTCACTGAAGCCAAGCCGTTAGCCTCATGCTTCCGCCCCCAGCTCCTCCGCAGACACCCAGAGCCACCACGGGGGGGTCACACCCGCAGTTTCAGCCCAGGCTCAAATGGCAGCGCCAAACAGCGCTCCACATCTGATTGGTCCACTCCTCTTTTCAAAATCAGGACCCCGGAGGGTGGCCGAGAGCTGCCTGTCTAGATAAGTGCGGGCGAAGGGGTGTAACGGGCAAACCCAGCAAACATGAAAAGCAGGATGAGTTTCACTTGTTCCTTCAAGGCCAGTTTTTGGGGCGGGGGAATACTGTTTAAAGGTTTTTAAATACACCTGACCTGCGCCTCAGACCATTCACAGTATTTGAGGAAATATAAAAGACAACTTATTCCCGTTCTTTTCCGAGCTTGGCTGTCGCTGAAGGCCCTCTTATGAAGAAACCGTTCTTACGGAAGCCCAGATGAGACAACTTGAGACAGGATTCAGAAACGCTGATTTTAGTAACCTTAACCCTCGGCCCTTGGTGGGAACTTCGGCTCTGTGGGAATTAGTCTTTGGGGGACTGATGGTGATGCTGAAATCTTATTGCGTAGGAAATTAAGTACAACAAAGAAGACCCGTCGTGAGAGGAGAGTGCGGAAGAAATGCGAAGTCTACGGGAGGTGGCAGCTGCAGAAGCTTGGTGTTGGATTTGGCGTTAGGAGACCGGGAGGAGCCCAGCTTCCGGTCCAGACGGTTATCTTGTTGACTTGCACGACTGCAAACGCCCTGAGCTGCTTTTGCAGTCTGAAACATCAGCGATCCCATCAAAATATTCTGTTTCTTGGGATATAAGAAACATCCCAAGGCGGGCTGTAGAGCGAGAGATTTGGACTCGATTTAAATACAGACAAAATAGTATGCATTTACTAACACCACATCTCACCCCCACGAAACTTGGTAAGGGCAGCAACAGAACTTTATCTGCCATATGCACTCCTGTATTCCTATTACCAAATAGTGCCAGGGACTAAGTGAATATTTGTCCAATGAATGAGTTTTAAGTAGGAAACGTTTGCATAGAATCATTTTGTTTCTTTTGGAGTTCAAATCTTCGGATATTTTACCCTTCCCAATCCAAAGAAAAGTCTCTGAGTGAAGAGATGGGAACAAAATGTAAGTTAAATATGTTGCTTTAACAACTGTTTATTGAACTCGTGCTATAGACTATAGAATGATGAGCAAAACCAGGCACAGTTTCGGCCCTGGAAGAGGAAAGGCAGGCATATATTTATCAAGTAAGTACATTAATGGCGGCACTTATCAGTTGAGAGAAGTGCGCTAAGGAAAGGAATATGATTCTATGATAGCGTATAATAAAAGATCCTTGACCGGGGAGGGGAAACGTACCAGTGATTAACTGATCTGAAGAATCAGTATAAATTGACTTTGTAGAAAGTATAGGTGGATGGCTGAGTGGGACCATCATTCAGGAAGCAAATGCCTGCAGAAAAAAACATCAATTTTAACAAGAAACGGTGTATCAGAGATGAAACTGAACCTATTCCTTGTCTTTTCTTCTTGCTTCAGACATAACTTTAAAAAATTGCTTACGCTGTCTTTAGCCACATCTCTTCCCCAAACTCCACACTGTTCGGCGTTTTAGCCGTCTCAAATTTCCTTTTCTTAAAGACCCATGACAATCTTCAGTGTTGTGTCTTTTTCTACGTCGTGATCCTTTTTTAAAGCTGAGCTCTTCTTGTTTTTCGTCTCCTTTCTCTTTTTTTTTTTTTTTTTTTGTGATGGAGTCTCGCTCTGTCGCCCAGGCTGGAGTGCAGTTGCACAATTTCGGCTCACTGCAAACTCCACCTCCCACGTTCAAGCAATTCTCTGCCTCAGCCTCCCAAGCAGCTGGGATTACAGGCGTCTGCCAGCAGGCCCGGCTAATTTTTGTATGTTTAGTAGAGACGGTGTTTCACCATTTTGGCCAGGCTGGTCCTGAACTCCTGACCTCGTGATCCACCCGCCTCAGCCTCCCAAAGTGCTGGGATTACAGGTGTGAGCCACCACATCCGGCCCTTCCTTTCTCTTAAGATGAAAATATTGGTTCTTTTTTCCTACACACAAGGAGGCAATGAAAATATTGGTTCTTTTCATTGCCTTATTATTAATGTTACTATTAATAAATATTAATATTAACATAATGGTTATTTGCTTCATCTACCTATATTCACAGGTATATAAACACAACAATAGCAATAACAGGATAAAGAATAAAAACAGAATAACAATAGAGATATTGCTAACAGATAAATGAAGTTTAACTTTGCATGTACTTCCTTTTTTCTAAAATTGTATCCAACTAAGGATGTAAAATCAAGATACTGTGTTTTAAATGAACTGGGCATAATTATTCTTTTTGGTTATATATGGATGTACTGTAGTTTATTTAGCCAGGCCCTTACTAGTGGATATGTTGGCTATTCCCAGTCTTTTGCTATACAAAAGTTTCCTTGTGCATATATAATATGCTTTTGCCAGTGGGTCTTTAGCATAGATTTCTATAAATGGGATTGTTAGGTCAAAGGGTAAAAGAACATGTTATTTTGTTTAATTCTGCCAAATTCCCCTTCATAGGGGTTGTGCAGTTTTGTATTCACACCAGCAGCATTTCCTGTTTCTCTGCAGCCTCTCCAATAGAATGAATTGTCAAACTCCTAGATGTTTGCTAAATCGATATGTGGGAAATGTTATCAAAGTGTAGTTTTTTTTTTTTTTTTTTTGAGACGGAGTCTCACTCTGTTGCCCAGGCTGGAGTTCAGTGGCTCTATCTTGGCTCACTGCAACTTCTGCCTCCCAGGTTCAAGCGATTCTCCTGCCTCAACCTCCTGAGTAGCTGGGACCACAGGCAATCACCACCACGCCTGGCTAATTTTTGTAATTTTAGTAGAGACAGGGTTTCGCCATGTTGGCCAGGCTGGTCTCGAACTTCTGACCTCAACCTATCCACTCACCTCGGCCTCGCAAAGTGCTGAGTTTACAGGCATGAGCGACTGCGCCCAGCCTCCAGTATAGTTTTGTATTTATCTTTTTGTCAATGAAGTGGAACATTTTTTCAAATGATGCATGCTTACGACAAAGTATTATGAAGCTGTTAAGGAATGTGGAAGATATATGACTATGATGTGAAGTGAAGTGAAAAAGCAAGGCATAAAAGAGTGTATATAGTATGCTGCCTTTGGTATACGGGGTGGTAGAGATACATATACAAATGGATACTTACTTATATTTTCAAAAATAAACAATAGAAAGGTAAACCAAAATCTAATAAAAATGGTAAACAATAGGAGAAGATCAAGAACAGGTGAAGTAGAAAATAGGAATGGAAGCTAGACCTCTCTGAATATATCTTGTTTTATATATAAACTTGGAACCCTGTAAATGTGTAACATGTTTAAAATACAAAATAAGGTGGTGGCTCACGCCTGTAATCCCAGCACATTGGGAGGCCGAGGTGAACGGATCACCTGAGGTCAGGAGTTCGAGACCAGCCTGGCCAACGTGGTGAAACCCCGTCTCTACTAAAAATACAAAGATTAGCCATGCGTGGTGATGCATGCCTGTAATCCCAGCTACTCGGGAGGCTGAGACAGGAGAATCGCTTGAACCTGGGAGGCGGAGGTTGCAGTGAGCCAAGATCCGGCCACTGCACTTCAGCCTGGGTGACACAGTGAGACTCCATCTAAACAAAATAATAATAAATAAAATAAAATAAAATAAAATGTAAAAGCAACTCCTAAAATGGAAAACAAAGTGCAATAAATCAATCTTTTCACCTGTTTAAGGGCTATTTGTACTTCTTTTTATTTAAATTGTCCATCTTTTACTTTCAGGATGGTCTTTAAAAATATTTTAGAAGCTTTTTATATATTAGTCCCTCATGATATAAGCTACATATATTTTTTAGACTTTTTGCCTTGCTTTTTTGTTTGTTTAAATTATAGTTAATCTCTTCCCTTAATGCTTCTGGATTCTGATCATAGATAGGAGTATTTTCCCCACTTCTGAGTTATAAAGGTATTCACTCTTGTGAATTCTAGTACTTAATTTTCTAGTACTGCTATGTTTTCATTTGTTAATGTTAGATCTCTGAGGCTGGAGTGCAGTGATGCGACCTCTGCTCACTGCAACCTTCACCTCCCGGGTTCAGATGATTCTCCTGTCTCAGCCTCCTGAGTAGCTGAGACTACAGGTGCATGCCACCACACCTGGCTAATTTTTGTGTTTTTAGTAGAGACGAGGTTTCGCCATATTGGCCAGGCTGGTCTTGAACTCCTTACCTTAGGTGATCTGTCTGCCTCTGCCTCCCAAAGTGCTGGAATTACAGGCGTGAGGCACCGCGCCCGGTCCTTAAATTTGGAATTTATCCAGTGTAGAAAGAATGGATCCAATTTTATGTGTTACCCCACACAGCTATCCAGCTGTAGATATTGTAATTTTATTTCATTTAGTGAACTCCCACACCTACTTCTAAAAGTAGGAAAACACTACTGAAAACCTCACTGAGTTCCCTGACGATGAAAAGGGAAATCTTTCGTTAAGCATTAGGCTTTGCTTTTAGTGCCACTAGATGGCACACATCCTTTTCCTTAGATGTTAGTTCACCTAGCCCTCATTTCTGTGAAATCAGTCCATAAAGTGTCTGCCAAAGGGCCTTCCTGAACCTTTTACCTGCATCCCTGCTTGAAATAAGATGATTTGTGCAACTTTCAAATTAGGTCCGAGTTTTTTTCTGTAAAACCAAAATGATTGTTCCTAGAATCACTGCTTCTAGGGCCTGGCACATTCCACAGACACATTGTTCCATTTATTTATTTATTTATTTATTTATTTGAGACGGAGTCTCGCTCTGTCCCCCAGGCTGGAGTGCAGTGGTGTGATCTCGGCTCACTGCAAGCTCTGCCTTCCGGGTTCACACCATTCTCCTGCCTCAGCCTCCCCAGCAGCTGGGACTATAGGCGCATGCCGCCACGCCCGGCTAATTTTTGTATTTTTAGTAGAGACGGGGTTTCACCGTGTTAGCCAGGATGGTCTCGATCTCCTGACCTCGTGATACGCCCGCCTCAGCCTCCCAAAGTGTTGGGATTACAGGCGTGAGCCACCGCACCCGGCCACATTGTTCCATTTATTAATAAAACAGAAATGTCTATCATATTCTGTCCTAAATGTGGACTAAGATGGAAAATAGTACAGTGATTTCCTGAGGTCACTGGGCTATCACCAGAATAGTAGACACTGTGGTGCTTCACCTAGATCCCCCTCCAGGCTGAGGTGCTCACTCGCCCCACTTGCAGAAGTGTTGGTTCCTCATGGCTCACAACAAAGTCCCCCTCTGAGAGCTGCTCCATGAAAAGGACCTGCCTCACCCCAAGTGATGCCTTCCTCTGGGCAGTCTACATTCCATGCCTGGTTAATATGGGGTTTCATAGGCCTGGTCCCCATATCTCAAGACAACGGAAGGACCTCCCAGCTCTAGAGCTTCCTGAAGGAGCAGCTGAGATGGTGGCAACTGTTTCACAGGCTGCCCAATCCTGTTTCTTTTACTCCTTTACTTGTGTTGTTCCAAGAGCCTTCCCAAGTAAGCCTCCTGTGGGGAAATCTCCATCTCAGTACCTGTTTTTCAGGCAACCCAACTTAAGATACAGGGCCAGTGGTTTTCCCTAAACAGTGCTCTAAACTAGAGCCTTGCTATTCAAATACGGCATAGGTATCGCCTGGAAACTATAGCCATGTGTCTCTTAATGACAGAGATACCTTCTGAGAAATGCATTGTTAGGCAATTTTGTCATTGTGCAAACATCATAGAGTGTACTTACATCAGCCTAGATGGTGTAGCCAACTACACACACACCTAGTTATGTGATATAATCTATTGCTCCTAGGCTACAAACCTGTACAGCAGATTACTGTACTGAATACTGTAGGCAATTGTAACACAATACCAAGTATTTATGTATCTTAACAGATTTAAAATTTATGATATAACATTTAAATTTTTTTCTTTTTTTTTTTTCTTTTTTGAGATGGAGTCTTGCACTGTCACCAGGCTGGATTGCAGTGGCACAATCTCAGCTTACTGCAACCTCTGTCTCCCGGGTTCAAGCGATTCTCCGACCTCAGCCTCCCGAGTAGCTAGGACTATAGGCGTGCACCACCACGCCCAGCTAATTTTTGTATTTTTAGTAGAGATGGCGTTTCGCCATGTTGGCCAGGGTGGTCTTGATCTCTTGACCTTGTGATCCGCCCACCTCGGCCTCCCAAAGTGCTGGAATTACAGGTGTGAGCCACTGCGACCGGCCACAGATTTAAAATTTTACCTGCGTAGGGTACTTATGAGTGGAGCTTGCAGGACTGGAAGTTGCTCTGGGTGAGTCAGTGAGTGGTGAGTGAATGTGAAGGCCTAGGACCTTACTGTACATTGTTATAGACTTTATAAACAGCATATACTTAGGCTACACTAAATTTATTAAAATTTTTTCCTTCAGTAATAAATTAAGGTTAGCTTACTATAACTTTTTAATTTCATCAGCTTTTAAATTTTCTTAACTTTTGACTCCTTTGTAGTAATAGCTCAAAACACAAACACATTGTACAGCTGTACAAAAATATTTTCTTTCCATATTCGGTAGGATTTTTTTCTATTTTTTTTACATTTTAAACTTTTTTGTTAAAAACCAAGACATGGCTGGGCGTGGTGGCTCACACCTATAATCCCAGCACATTGGGAGGCCGAGGCAGGTGGATTGCTGGAGTCCAGGTGTTTAAGACCAGCCTGGACAACATGACGAAACCCCGCCTTTACAAAAAAATATGAAAAATAGCCAGGCATAGTGGCACACACCTATAGTCTCAGCTACTTGGGAGGCTGAGGTGGAAGGATTGCTTGAACCTGGGGAGCAGAGGTTGCAATGAGCTGAGATCGCACCACTGCACTCCAGCCTGGGCGATAGAGCGAGACCCTGTCTCAAAACCAAACAAAACCAAACAAAACCAAAATGAAGATACAAACTCACACATTAGCCTAGGCCTGAGCAGGGTCAGGATCATCTATATCCACTGGTCCCATAAGATTATAATGGAGTTGGGGCCCGGCGCAGTGGCTCATGCCTGTAATGCCAGCACTTTGGGAGGCCAAGGCAGGCGGCTCACGAAGTCAGGAGATTGAGACCATCCTGGCTAACACGGTGAAACCCCGTCTCTACTAAAAAATACAAAAAAATTAGCCAGGCGTGGTGGTGGGCGCCTGTAGTCCCAACTACTCAGGAAGCTGAGGCAGGAGAATGGCGTGAACCCGGGAGGTGGAGCTTGCAGTGAGCCCAGATCGTGCCACTGCACTCCAACCTGGGCGACAGAGCAAGACTCAGTTTCAAAAAAAAAAAAAAAAAGATTATAATGGAGTTGGAATGTTCCTATTGCCTAGTGATGTTGTTGACGTAGTAGCATCACTGTAGCACAGTTCATTACTCACATCACATATTTGTGGTGGTCTGTGGGGAGCTATTCCAGAAAAAAGCCTTGTTATCATAGGAGATGATAGCTCCTTCTGTGTTATTGCACCTGAAGACCTTCCAGTAGGACAGAATGTGGAGGTGGAAGACAGTGATAGATATATATGTAGTCCATTGTTGACCGAAACATTGCTATGTGGTGCATGAAAGGAAGTAAATCAGGGCCGGGCGCAGTGGCTCACGCCTGTAATCCCCGCACTTTGGGAAGCCGAGGCGGGTGGATCACGAGGTCAGGAGATCAAGACCATCCTGGCTAACACAGTGAAACCTCGTCTCTACTAAAAAATACAAAAAATTAGCGGGGCGTGGTGGCGGGCGCCTGTAGTCCCAGCTACTCGGGAGGCTGAGGCAGGAGAATGGCGTGAACCCGGGAGGCGGAGCTTGCGTGAGCGGAGATCGCGCCACTGCACTCCAGCCTGGGCGACAGAGCAAGACTCCGTCTAAAAAAAAAAAAGAAGTAACTCAGGCCCCACCCTAGACCTACTGAATCAGAATCTGCATTTTTATGATTCTCAATGATTCTCTTATGATTCTCATTTTATTTTTATTCCATGACTTTTAAAAAAAAAATCCCGTAACTTCTTTTTCATAACTTCTTTTGTAACTTTTCATAATACTGTTTTCTACTTTTTTCCCACAAGTTTTTTTGCCACAACGTTTTTACATTTTTTATCCCATAACTTTTTCACCCCATAACTTCTTTTAATCCCATAACTTTTTAAATCTTGTGTTAAGAAACACTTGCATAGTTATATTACACCTTTGTAAAAATGAAACACATTATCTCATGCCAAGCATGCCCAGCATTTGCACAGTATCAATACCTTTAATACTATAGTTTTCAAGAAACGCAAAATAAAATTTTAAGGCAAAAACAACACATTGAAACAATTTAATAATTTATTACATTACAGTGGCATCACACCAGCAGTCAATAAGGCCACTCTAGGGAAAAATCTTTCAGTATTTCCATGACACATTCTGTTTACAATAATTCATAAACTGGTAAAATTCATTCTAAGAAAACTTGGCAAATAAAACTTTGGACTGGAATTGGCATTTCTTTCTCTGCTTTTCGTTCCCACCATTTCTTTCTTTTATACTACAGTATTCATATTTTAAAATGTTTTAAATTATTTCAGAACATTAAGATAGCAGTTACATTTTTTAATAGTTATATTATTTTAAAATGACTAAGATAAAGTTTTAGAGAAACTATATTATGGATAGGGCTGATTTACATTTTCAAATTTTCTGAAATCAGCTTTGGTTTTAGAGCTGATTTTTTTTTTTTCATTTCTGGAAAATTAGGTTGAATCAAATACTTTTAAAATGATTATTATATATTGCCATCTTTAAATAGGTGTTTTGATTCTTCCTACAGACATTAAAATGTATTCAGTGGAACTCACAGTTTAAAATTCTATGTTTCTCATGAACTCTAACATTCCAATGTTGCCTTCTAAGCAAACTGAAAGCTTCCTTATACTGAATGAGGAAGAGTACAAATACTCGGCTGAATGAGGTATCGCAAAAGACTGCATGCACTTTGGAGAAAGACTTAAGTTATTGTCATACAATTTCCATTCTTTTTAGTGTTTTCTTAAATATATGACAAATACCTACACAAAGAGTGGTATTTCAGTCAATATAGTAAATTTATTTTCCAGACTGACCTTCAGCTTAAATATGCCAGTGTGTGATTTAATCCATAGGCACCTCATGAACACATTATTGTCAGATTGGTTACAGATGCTAAACGCTATCCGAAGGTCATTCCTAGTCACTGATATTTATCAGGGTAAAAGTGAAGTGATTTCAACGATAAAAGTACCTTTGAAATAATTTATCAATGTATTAGATAAACCCAGTTTCAGAATGATAAAAGAAAAAACGTTAGACCAAATAATGTGGCTGATTAACAGTGGTCCGATTTCTAGCCCGAGGGTTTAAAATGCTCTTAAAGTAACTGTCTTTAAACTGAACTCAAAGAATGCAAAAGCGGCAAGTTCAGAAAATAAAAGGCGAGAACAGGACTTTAAGTGCATTTTAAACCCACGGGCTAGAAATCGTACCACTGTTAATTAGCCGCATTATTTGGTCTAAGATTTTTTCTTTATCATTCTGAAACTGGGTTTATCTAATACATTGATACATTCATAAAATTTGGAAGAGTCAGTGGAAGTCACAAGGACCGAATATTTGCACTCTTTCAGTGAATGCCAGCAAATCTGTTATTCCATCGGTAAAATCGTATTGTTGCTCTCCTGTTAATGTCATATTTATAGAAGTATCATGAGGATGCCAAATGCTAAAAATGGAGATGATCTAGTAACTAGAAATCCCCACCGCAGGGAGCACACACACCTATCTCCCTGCATCCTAACAATGTGATGTGTTTTGGAACACAGACATTAGAACTTCATGAAGTTTTAACTGTTGAGTCTTTCCCAAGCATCATCAAGTTACGATTTAGGCAATACATAACTGAAATGCATTCATTCATCATGCATAGGCACAATCACATAAATATCGCACAAAATATGTCCCGAACAGAAACCCAGAGGTACAAAAACATATTTCACTTTGTAAAGAAGTTTGTGAGAAAATATAACTCTGTGGTTGTATAGACACGTTTCCTGATAATACATTGACATTCACGAACAACAGTAGATTGCACTGCAGTTTGTACACATTTTAAGTTTCATAAACTTCTCCTTGATTTTCAAAGATAGTATAATACCATCTACTAAAACTCCTTTTTGTTTCAACTATCTCACATATATTAGTTTATAAGAATGTTTCTATTTTTTTTAAAGTGTTTTCCATTCAAAGAAAAAGAAGTAAATTCCTATATCAGAGTAACCAAGGTGGTTGAAGAATAGGTATTAGCCAAAGAGGTCTAGATGGTAAAATCAATCTTCAAGCCTCAAAGAATCTCCGTGAACAGAGAGGAATGCCAGGAGTCACACAGCTTTCCTTCACTCTAATTCATTCTTGACTAGAGCCTGTATGCCTGTTCCAGGGACATTTGAACTCGTAAAGGATTTCTTATGATCTTCACTAAATACATTAAGAAGAATGCCAACCAGTGCCCTTTTGTGTACTGGGGCATGTAGTCATGTGATTAAAACAGGTAACATGAACTCTGACTTTAAAATGTATTGTAGATACAAATGCTCTAAGCTAGGAAAGGTTTTCCACATCCACAGTCAACGATGGGAACCTTTCATTCCTCAGAAATAAGCCCTTTTTAGGTCATCGAAAAAGAGTGCAACTGCTGCAGCTCATGATGCAATATCTTCATGAGCCCAGAGCACATACAAATCCTAAGGGCACCACCATAATACACCGCTAATTCCTGGCACCGGAAGAGATGAAACACACTCTATCCTGCACATACCTGCCAGAGGAGGCCACTTTCCTCTTCTGTGAGATTTAAAAAGCTCCCCCAAAAGGTTATCACTCCCATCACCAATACACAGAAAATGGAGGAAAGGCTGTTTCCAATTCTTGGCCTTTAAACAACTCTAAATGTCAGTACTCATAGTGGCGTATTACAAAGTAATAAACAGTGCACACTTGGGGGCAAACTACATATTGAGCTAAGGAAGAGCTCACTGTGATTAAGATTAGATCAAACAACAGCAGAACATAGGCAAATTTTGTCTGAATGCTGTAGTGAATATACATGCTGCAATAACATTAAAAAAGCATGGCAGCCTATTCCAAACCAAAGAGAACAGTTTTGGGCAAAGAGTGGGTCTTTGTGTGTTTGAACTCCCACCACGTAAGGGCAAACTCGATATGCATGCTAATGACCTACAATTATGAAATTAAAAAAGAAAAATGCTAAAGGATGCCAGAGTGAACATCAGTGAGAGCCACAGACACCCACTCTCTTTTAACTTTTTACAAATAAACTTAAACTATAAATTAGAAACACAAATAATCATGAGTGAGTCTAACATTCAAAGGAAGTAAATGAATTGTGTAGGAGATTAACCCCATAACTTGGTTTCTTATTTAAAAATTTCTTGAGCAGCTGTTTGATGATGGTGATGTTTATCTCCTTCTTCTTGGCAGCCAAGCCCAACAAAATAATGGCACACAGCAGTTGCTGCCCAAGCCTGGGTGCTCCTGGTGGTCCTGCACGATCGGCTGTGCAGTAGGCTTGTCAAGGAGAGGATCCTCCCTGGCCTCTCCTTGGGCAGAGGAGGTGAGGGTCACCTCACGAAGATCTTTGGAGAGAGGGAGGCGGGGATCTGAGCACAGTGGGAGCCCCCCTCTTCCTGCCTGCCCACCCCGCCTGAGGGCTCTACTCACCACCATGCTTATCTGTAGCCCCAAGCTCCTGGGGAGCTGGGGCTCCTGGACCGGGCTCATCAGCAGGGTTGTGGGCAGCGGCCAGGAATTTTCTGTGCCCATTGTTGTAGTTGCTGTAAGCCGCAATACCATCTGCTGCAGCTCCAGCAGCTTCACCTGGAGGGAGGGGTGCTCAGCTGCCATGCCGCTGCCTGCGCCCACCCTCACCCCCACCCCCACCCCCACCCCCACAGAGATGTTGCACACCCTACCTTCATCTCCTCCCTGAGCTCCAGCCTGATGGTGTCCTCCTCCCAGTGCTGCATCTTTGGCACGGCCCCCTGGTTCTGATAAAAGGTGATGGATTTTCCTGCGGGAGGACAGGGCTCAGATGCTGGGGCCCCTCTGATGGCCCTGTAGCTCCCCCTGCCGTGCCCTGGCCTCCCACTCACTGATGGCATCTCTCTTGCCAGTATTGAATGAAGCGAAGTTCTTGTTTTTTCACCAGCTCACTCAGGTCTGCCTTCTCCTTCAGGTGGTCCATAAAGCTGCTCTGGAGCCAAAATATTGCAGTCACATCTCGGCAGCGACCTGCCCTCAGGTGGCATTTTCAAGTCATGGAGAAGGCGGAGGTGAGTCCTGGCATGGGCCAGCTTCTCCGTGACTTCCTGCAGGGCCCAGTGGGTCTCCCCACTCACAGACTCGCCCCCAGGCCCTGGGGCTCCAGGGCCTCTGGCCGCCTCTGGCTCCTTCTGGGCCGAGGCCACCGGGTGAGCCAGGCGCTGGCAGCACACCCTCTGCTCTTTCACCTGCTCTTGTAACTGTGCCTGCTTCTCCTGGGCACTAGCTCCAGCGGACTTGAAAAATGCCACCTGAGGGCAAGATGTGAGCATTCTTCTAGGGGCATACACAGAAGAAATGGGGCAGAGAGGTGGAGCGCAGCCCCTTCCCTTGGGGCCTCAGAGAGTGCACCTGTTGGCCACAGGTGAAATGGTGTCTGACCACTGGCTCTCGGAAGGGGTGAGGGTCCAGAGAAATCAGAAGGCAGGGAAACGAAGAGCATAAAGGGGTCTTGGAGGGACCACAGAGAAAGGTGGCAAAATGGGTGCAGGGGGAGTCAGGCTCACCATGGCCTCCCTGCTCTCCAGGTCCTCTGGGACACTCGGCATGGGCTGAGGTGCCTCCTCCCCCTCACTGTCCAGATGTTCTCCTCCGTGTCCTGTGGGGGGTGGCCAGAGGGGTCTTCAGACAACCCAACAAGGGAGGTACTGTGGGCCCACCTCTACCTCCACCCTCACTGTGTAACCCTGAGCCAGCCCCTCCCCAGAGAGGAATGAGCTGTTGTTCTTTATTTTTACTTTTAAGAATCAAGATCTTGCTATTCCGCCCAGGCACACTCCCACTACTGGTCGATGTGGGAGTTCTGACCTGCTCCCTTTCTGACCTTGGCCAGTTCAGCCACCCTTAGGCAACTTGGTGACCGCCCGCTCACAGGAGGTCACCACACTGATGCCGAACTTAGTGCAGGCACCCGGTCGGCATAATGACCAGCTGTTCTAAAGGTCTCTTCCAACTCCTCAATCCTATGCTGCTAGCAGTCCCCCCTTCCTCCTGGGGCTCTCTCCTCTTCCTCTGAGCAGTCTCCCGTACCTTCCCCAGGGAGAGCCATGAGGCTCAGCTGGGCCGTTAGCTGCTGGTTCTGCTGGCTGGCCGCTTCCAGGTGCTCCTAAGGGGCCAGGAAAGAGTGAGAAGGGATGGAGTTTGCCAGGTCGTCCCCCTCACAGCCCCATCCTCGGCAGCTCCCTCCCCTGGGTCTCCTGCAACTTTTGGCAGGCCATCTCGGCCACTGCTTTGCCCCAAGCTTCCTACTGCTGCAGCTGGTTCATTAGCTGGGTCTGTTGCAGTCACTGCCTGTACAGCGCCTCCTTCTCACAGGTCAGCTGCTGATAGGCGGCCACCTGCTGCTGATAGGTGGCCACGTACTGCTGCAGGTGACCCAGGTAATGATCTGGCTGCTGCTGCAGACTCTGAGCCTCTTGGCTCTTCAGCTCCACCTGCAGGAAGACCCTGGGTGTGAGGGCACGTGGTGGCTGGTTTCCAGATTCTGGGCCCATTAATAGGGTAGCGAGGGCACTGTGGGGCTCTGTCAGCTACCCAGGCCCCTGTCCCCTTACTCCAGGCCTAAGTGACTGCCTCCCTTTCCTAGAACCCCATGCCTCCTTCCCCAGCCTCAAATCTCATACCCTCTTCTCATTTAATCCTCAGCACCTCTGTAAGGAAAATGCTAACTTCCCTTTGAAGTTAAAGAAACAGAGACTTAGAGATGCAAAGTACTTGAATGGTGACCAGTGGAACCGAGGCTGGAATCCAGTTTCAATCTAAGGAGTCTTTTTGTTTTGTTTTCAGACAAGAGTGTCACTCTGTGGCCCAGGCTGGAGTGCAGTGGTGCAATCTCAGCTCACTGCAACCTCCACCTCCTGGGTTGAAGCAATTCTCGTGCCTCAGCCTCCCGAGTAGGTGGAATTACAGGCATGCGCCACAATGCCCTGCTAATTTTTTTTTTTTTAATTTTAGTAGAGATGAGGTTTTACCACATTGGCCAGGTTGATCTCAAACTCCCGACCTCAAGTGATTCTTCTGCCTCAGCCTCCCAAAGTGCTGGGATTATAGGCATGAGCCACTGCACCTGGTATAAGGAGCCTGTTATAGCACTGTCTCTTCCCCTGTGATTGGGGGCTCCATGCCTCTAGCTGGGATGATGATGTCCAGACCTGAGAGGAGCCCAGGGCTACCCACCTTTAAAAGTCAGAGGCAGGAAGCGAGAAACAGTCGCAGGACTGCCCTGGGGGGTGCTGTGGTCACCAGCCCCCAGGCTGGAAGCTGCCTCTGACCTGGCACCTCCCCTCCCAAGAGGCTGCTGCCCGCCTCCCAGCCCTTCTTGGATGGGGTGGAGGTTTCCGTCTCCTTCACCTCGCCAAGCTTCTCCTGTAGCTCCTTTACTTGCTGCTCCAACTGCAGTGTGCTCTTGTTCTCATTGTTCTGGACAGAGAGAAGCAATCAGCAGCCACCCACTGCAGCTGGAGACCCCAGAACTTGGTGTCTGCCTCCCATGGCACTGGGAAGGCTGGAGGCAGGTTAGAAAAATCACCCCCTCTCTCCCACAGCCACCTGGCTCACAGGTGCCTTTAGAAGTAACCTTTCACGCGAGGGCTACACTGCCCCATTTTAGAGGTGGGGAAACAAAGGCCCGGAGGGCTAGGGAGGAGGGCAGGCTCCCCAGTTGGGGCAACGCACCAGCTCCTCGAAGACGCTCTGTGGCTTGGCCAGCTGCCGAAGCTTCTCGTGCTGCTCCTGAAGCCTCTCCTCCTGCTTCCGAAGCCTCTCTTCCTGTTCCCGAATCCTCTCTTCTTGTCGCCGGTTCAGGAGACTTATGTGCTGATTGTTTTTGACCTGGGCCTGGAGCTCTCCTGCCACTCTCTCTAGTTCCTTCCTCAGGTGCTGCAGCTCCACCTCAGAGGGCACTGCTGGGGGCTCCGGGGCCAAGGGTTCAGCTGACAAAGGAAGCAGATAATAAGGGCCTCTGGATTCTCGGAAAAGAAAAACCCTCCTCTTGGCGCACAGCTCCTCTCAGGCTCCTCAAACTTGGCCTCACTGCTAATGATTCCTCGCACCCAGATGGTAGCCAGTCTTCCAAAGCACTTTCAGAGAAAGAGCACTGCGGGTGGCTGACAACGGGCCCTCTTTGCTGATGGGGACACTGAGACACTGAGACTCACTGAGATGACAAGACTTGCGGTCTCCTGGCACAGATCTCTTTCCCTCTGCCTCAAAGCCCTTCCATCCACCCACCTCCCTGGGGCACTCTAAGCCACCCTCACAGCCCTCTGATGCCAGTCCTGCTCCCAGGTCATGCCAGCCCCATCTTACCCGTCTGGTTTTTGAGTTTGGACAAGCTCCACTCCAGCTGCTCTACCCGACGCATATCTTGCTGCTTCTCTTTCTTTAATGTGCAAATCTGCCCAAAGCACAGGGGGAAAGGGCCCTGGAGAGAGGGGCTGGTGGCTGGACAGGCTGCCCTCTCCCTCTCTGCCCCCACCTCCACAAAGCCCAGACCCATGACCACCTCTGGCTCTACTATTCCCATTTTACAGATGCCCAGAAAGATCCAGTGACCTATCTAATGTGGGGGGGCTGAAGGGTCAGATCTCACCTCCTGCGACATTTTACTCATCCTCTGATGCCACCGGGCCCTCTCTCCTTCTATATGTTCAGCACACTCATCTCTTTCTAATTGGAGTTGTTGAAATGACTCCTTCAACTGCAAGAATGGGCACAGAAGTTAGGAAGGGCTGTCACTGGTCCTCACCTGCTCCTGGCCACCTGGGGTCATCGTCCTTCCACATCCCTCCCTCGGAAAACCTCACCTGTGTCAGCTGCGCTTTCAGCAGTGCCTGGTCCTGTAGGGACTGCTCTAACTCCCACTCTGTATGTGCTTTGCTGCAGCTGGACAACTGGATGGTGAAGAGTGAGAAGTTTCAATCTGGAGAGCCTGGGCATTTCCACACAGTGCCCCTTAACAGGGCTAGGGCTAGGCCCAATATACAACTCGGTCAGTAAAGATCAAGGCATTTCCCAGCCCGTGGTCTGGTTTTTAAAAGAACACAGTAAAGTTGGAACGGACAGGGAATGAGACTGAGTTTATAGCTGGCTAACAGAGGCCCAGAGAGATCAGATAATATTGCTGTTGTTATTATTGTCATTATTACCACTGTTTGAACCTTTGTGGAATGCTTCACCAGGTACCGTGCTAACAATCCCATTTAATCCTCGCAACCACCATAGGAGACAGTTACTATGATTCCCTCTATTGTGGAGATGAAAAAACATGGAGTATTTGAGGTTAAGTGCTTGCCTAAGTTCACTTAGGCAGAGCTGGGATATAAACACCCAGGTCTATCCAATTCTCTAAGCCCGTTTTTCTTGCTGGGGATGGGGGCACAGATAGGAAGGGGAAAATTAATCTTTTGTTCACTTTTTGAAAGGATGATAACATTTGCATAGTCCAAAACTCAGAAGGTACAGAAGGGAAGTATCTCCCGGCCATCTTGTTGCTCTCTCCTGAATTTTTTATGAACCCTTGCAGACATGTTTTATGTATATTATCACAGTATGCACACACACACACACACGCACACACGTTTCCTCTTTCTACAGAAATGGTAACATACTAAAGGTACTCTTCTGTACCTTCACAGTACAAGTACCCAATACCCCACCTAGGACTAGGACTTGCCCAAGACCACAGCCAGGTAAGGGCGGGGCAGGCACTTGGCCTCCAAGCTCTGCGTCCAGTGCTCACTCCCCACAGTACCCCCCAACTCACCCACAGCAGCTGACTCGGCCCCAGGCTGCCACTAAAAACCATACAAAAAAGTAGCAAGAAATGGCCATGCTGCCTTCTGGGCAGGACACGCCATCCTGCAGAAGGGACCTTTAGGCTCACTCCTCCATCTGCAAAACCAGGCTCCCAGGGGATGGGGCAGGTGGCTGGACTCACCTGGTTTGCCTTCTTCTTCTCTGTGGCGATGACAGCAGACAGAGCGCTCTCTAACTCTCCTTTACACTGCAATGAATGTTGCAGACGGACAGCCAGGTCCTTGGACTCTTCTGTAATGAGAGAGTTGAGATGGGGCCCAAAGGACTCCCCCTGAAGACCTGTCAAAGTGCCAGGTTGAAGGATGACAGGGTGCCCAGATTCCCACCTTCAAAGTATCTGAGAGAACGTTCCATGTGGTACAGGTCCGTATTTAGTTCCTCTTTCTGTATGATCAATGTCTGGATTTGAACCTTTGGGAGAAAAGCCAAGCAAGTGCTGAAAGAGAAGGAAAGAAACATTCTCCGGAGGACAGGAGGAAACTGCACACCCTCCACTCACCTCTAGCTCCCTTTCGGCTTTCTGTCTCTCGTTGTTTGCTTTCTTTTCCTGTAGGAAGAGGAAGACAGAGCTCTTACCAGGGGGAGGCAGAGATGGCACAGCAAGAGACATGCCCCCAGAATGCCACCAATGCCCCAGGACAGGCCCACCCATGGGACCAGGTTATCAGGGGCCCTGTGGGGATGGGGTGGAATCTGAGGGGTCAGCCTTCTTCCCCAGGCTGGGAGTGGGTGAGACGAGACTGGGGCCTCTATGTCTGAGTGCCCCCCAAACCCAGCAGTCATGTCGCGAGGAAACGAAATCACGTTACTTCTTCCAGCTGATGTTCCACTTGTTTCTTCTGTTGTTTCTGTGGGGAGAGTCAAATAAGGTGATGGAGGGTGGCCCCCTCAACTCTATTCCCCAGACCAGGAAGCGGTAGGCAGGGGCCAGGAATGGATTTTAAAGGCAAAGTTCTCAGACATAATGGGAACACGAACCGGTAAACTCTCCTCAAGCTCCCAAGGACAGAGGATTTGGGTCTTTGTTGGCTTTTGCCCACAGCCACAGAACTCAGTCTGAATCTGGAATCTCTTGAGAGGACAGCAACATAAACCTCTAGAGATGGAGTTTCAGAAAGGCCCCTCCTTCTGGCAGCTTGTGATTTAGAAAAGTGGGTTCATTCAATAAACACTTACTGAGCACGTATGGGCCAGGTACGGTTCTTCACAGCAGATATAGGATGGAAAAGGACAGACAGGAGCCCTTAGCCCTGAGGTTTCCATTCCCGGGGGCCTTTAAATCTCAGACTCGAGAGCTAACAGAGACCTTTGATACTCACTACCTCCTCTGGAAACACGAGCCCAAAAAGGAGAGGTGGCTTGTCCAGAATCAAAGAGCAAATTAGGGACTGAGTCATGGCAGAAATACGGGGCCCTTGACAACCAGTCAGGCTAGCACTTCCCCAAGAGGCAACAACCCCAGGGCGTGTGTAGCAAGGACTCGAGCAGGGGTGTCTGGAGAGGAGAGAGTCGGCAAAGAGGGCAGCAAAAGAAGAGCCATGCTGCATGCTCTGGGGTCCCTCCAGGTGAGGCCTGGGCACCCAAGCTCCCTATTTGTCCCGGGCACCAGGGACCCCCAGCCCCTTTCTTCAGGGCCCCAAGGGGAAACTGGAGCCCAGGATTGGCAGCGTGGAATCAGGGGACCCCACCGGACTCTTACCAAAGATTTGATGGTGTTCTTCAGTCGACTGATTTTTACGGACGTTGAATCCAGGACTACTGCTCGTTCTTGGCACGGGCTCTGAGGTGCATGCAGAGAGGAGGAGGTGGAGCAGGAGTGGGGAGAGAGGTAGAGAGAACGATCGTTAGGGCTGGGGTGTGTGGGCTGTCTCAGCTGGCAGAGGGGCACCCAGTCCCACCTGGAGGAGGAGGTTGGAGGGTTGACCCGAAGGGTCACTGCACCTCCACCCAGAGCCTCTTACCTCCAGATCTTTCAGGGTAGCAGATGATGTAGGGCCTTCCCTGTGGAAACCTGTTGCTGACTACAAGAGATGAGAGTGCACATGGAGATGTTCTGTCCCCCACAGTGTCTGAGCCCTCTGACTTCCTTTCTTCCCCATCAACTGCAACATTTTCTTTTCTGCCTATCTTGGACCTTTTGTCCCATAACTCCTTTGTGCCAACTTCTCTCATGGTTCTTATCTCCCCACCATCCCATCCTGGGGCCCCTTCAGTGACTCCTGATGGCAAGTGGCTGTTCTCTTTGTCCTGGTTTCCCCTTGAGACTGGGGATGAGGAAAATCAAACCATATCCTGGGTGTCCTGAGTGTTTACAGCAGGCCATGTACTAGGGATTAACATAAAAACAACAATAACAAATCTCATTTAAACTTCACAAATGGAAGTGAAACAATAACACCTCTATTATACAGATGTGAAAAGAGAGGCCCAATGAGGTCAAGCAACTTGCCCTAAATCATATCCCTAGCAGAGCAGATGGAGAGGCAGGATTCAAACCCAGAATTCCTTTTTTTTTTTTTTTGAGACAGAGTCTTGCTCTGTCACCAGGCTGGAGTGCGGTGGCATAATCTTGGCCACTGCAAGCTCCACCTCCCAGGTTCACACCATTCTCTTGCCTCAGCCTTCTGAGTAGCTGGGACTACAGGCACACGCCACCACGCGTGGCTAATGTTTTTGTATTTTTAGTAGAGACAGGGTTTCACCGTGTTAACCAGGATGGTCTCGATCTCCTGACCTCATGATCCGCCTGTCTTGGCCTCCCAATGTGCTAGGATTACAGGCGTGGGCCACCACACCCGGCTAAAGCCAGAATTCTTAACCAGTACCCAGCAGTCCATCCACAATCTTAAGAATTACCCTCTATTGCCCCTTGGGCCCCCTGTCCCCAGAAGCCTGGTCAGCCAAGACTCACATCCCCAGGTGGCTGGCAACCACCGGAAGTGGCTGTCTCAGGGATACTGCCATTTGTTTTCCTGTTCCTGTTCACTCCTGCTGGAACTCTAGGTCTGTTTTTCTGCCAATATTCTTTTAACTGTTGGAAAGAAGAGCAGTAATATTCATGAGAACCGTCAGCCCCTACAGCCACAACCTCCTTTACAGTTTTTACAAAATACACTTACACACCGTCTGATTTAATGACACCAACAACTGTACAAGGTGTTGTCACACTCATTTAGTGACTGAGAAGGATTGATATCATGGCTAGAAAAAAAAAAGAAAAAGGCAATACTGGAACTTTGAGACTCAGTCTTCTGACTCCAAGCTCTGAGGTTTTGCCAAGAATCAGCAGCTGCCAGGGACCAAAACCAGAGGCAGAGGTAGAAAAGTAAACATTAAGTAGGCAGGAACTGTATGCCATGTGGTTTAGTCATACATCCTCACACGTCTGTTAGTGTGAAGAAGTGCACCAGTACCTCTCAAACTTTTATATCAATGTGTCCTCATGGCAGAAGGCAGCCTTTCTCTTAAATCAGAATTTATCAGAAAGAGGACAACCCAAGCCTCATTTCAGAGAGAGGTCTGGTATACTCTTAGAAACCTATGTGACTGTCATCCCTAAGTACATTCATGTTTTTTCTCTTGATCTCAAGAGAATCAAGGGAAACTGATGCTTCAGAAAGATGTCCCACATTTATCCTGTGGCACTCAAAGTACCCAAGGTTGAGATAATATGAGGAAGATTCAAGGTGTCAAGTTCAGTTTCCCAAGATCTATTCCACAGAAGATGAGCAAATCTCACTTCAGAGACCACTGACTGAAGGAGAGTCTGGTCCCAGAACCATGGAGAATTAGAATATGAGGTGGAGAACTCAGAAAAAAATGTTAAAATCTCTCTGGAAAGTAGAAGCCTGGGAGAAAACCAAATCAAACCCATTCTCTCATTGCCACCCAGAGATACTGTCATTGTTTTGAGTTCATGGGGGAAGTGTAGGCTTTTCCCACCGTCAACATCTGTAAGGGAGTGAGGCAGCCTGGAACCTCTTGCTCCTAGGTCCCATAGTCTCCATTCCCCTTCCAGCTGGAAATTTGTGCTGTGACCAGAGGAACCAGAAACGGGGTGAGAACGCTTAGGGGACTGGGTCGTAAGGTCAAAGGCCAGTCTTGCAGTAACGGCAGTTACTAGGTGGACTGTGACATCACAACATTCCACTCCTCCTGGTCGGGGGGAGGGACCATGTCAGCACCATGTCCAAGTCGCTGCTCCACGATGGGGGAGGGAAGCACAGGGTTGGGACCCAGCTCCTTGGAGACGCCAGCACAAAGAACCCAGGGAGGTCGACCTTGAGGCAGCAGGAGGGGAGGGCACAGTCTGCAGCAGGGAGTCCCAGGAGTCACCAGCCCAAAGTCACCCAAGGATGACTGGCGAGGGTGGGGCCTGGCTCCTTGGAGATGAGAGCCCAAAGAGCCCACGGAGATCAAGCTTGGGGCGGCAGGAGATGACGGCCCAGTAATGGAGCGGGAAGCCCCAGGAGTCACCCACCCAAAGTCACCCTGGGGTGATTGGCGAGGGCAAGGACTGGGCTGCTTTCTGAAGGGGTGGGGCTGACTGACAAAACTTTGGTGGGGGTAGCCCAAGGCACCGGGGTTGGGGGGACCAGTCCAGTGTGCCTCAGGAGTCGTATAGACTCTGGCAGGGGTCTTGTCATCAGAGGGGATCTGTGGCTGGGTTGAGGGGCTATGACCTAGTGCGTTTTTACCTTTTTCTTGGCTGCAGCCAATTTGTTGTGTTGAGTTTCTTCTGCCATCGCAGGGTGGGGAGGGAGGAAGGGTTGGGGCCACAGCAGCAAAATCCCAATAAGAACCGATCAAGGCCTCCAGTCACCTACCAGGCAGCTGTGTGACTGAGCCAGAGGAGGCGTAACCAGGGCCCCAGTAGAATGCGGAATAGGGGCGTGGCCTTAATGCTCCAAGCCCATTGGTCAATGAGAAAGATGAAAGGGAAAGGGCGTGGCCAGACAGCAGCGTGTCCAGAGGGCCCTGTGGCTCACAAGGAAAGCTGCCCATGGCAACCGCTCTCCCCACCCACTCTAAGAGAGGGGAGAGGCCTCCCACTCTGGAAGAGAAGAGGGGCTGGCTTTTGCTTTAAAAGCTTTAAAACTTTAAAAAATATATGTGTGTATACTTTATATATATATGTGTGTCCGTGTGTGTATCTATGTTTTTCTCCATAGCTGTCTTCATTATCCAGCTTCTATGCAAGGTCTATGATTTTGGCCTATATTTTTCATCTTTGATTACAGTACAAAAATTACCAGTATTACCTTAACTGAGATACAGATCCTATAAAAATGGAAAATGCATAGCATGCTTGATGATTAATGAAGCAGACTATATTATCCAACATTCTAATAAGATAAAATAATCACAATGATTTCTCTTTTTTGGAAAAATGTTTCTCTTATTCTCCTACGTTTTCGTTAAGATTTTTTTTCTTAAACAAGAAACATGTCTAATATCTGTAAAAGCACAAAGCTTTTGGGCTGGGTGCAGTGGCTCATGCCTGTAATTCCAGGACTTTGAGAGCCCAAGGTGGGTGGATCATGAGGTCAGGAGATCGAGACCATCCTGGCTAACACGGTGAAACCCCATCTCTACTAAAAATACAAAAAAGGCTGGATGTGGTGGCAGGCAGCTGTAGTCTCAGCTACTTGGGAGGCTGAGGCAGGAGAATGACATGAACCCCCGAGGTGGAGCTTGCAGTGAGCCAAGATCATGCCACTGCACTCCAGCCTGGGCTACAGAGCAAGACTCCATCTCAATTAATTAATTAATTAATTAAAATAAAAAATTAATAGTAAGAGCAATGTGAACAAAAGATGCAATAAAATAATTTAGAAAATACAAACTATTAAAAAATAGATTTTAAAACTTGTGCAACGAAGTCAAACAGCAGCCAACGAAAATGTATACCCTTACACGTTTGTTTAAAAAGCAATTTAAATTACATTGATCCACTAAACTAGGAAAAGCAAAACAAACAAAAAGGGGGAAATAATTAAGACCTAAGGAAAAAGGAAAAAGAAAAACCACTAGATTTAAAAAATAAAACTAAAGGAGGATTCTTTCAAAAGACTGAGATAATAAAACAGTCAAGCCTCTGATAAGTAATCAAGATAAAGAAAACTTTGAAGAGAAAAGGGCATATAGCCACATGTGAATATGATGCAAAAAGTGAAAACTTTACACATCTTTACAACACCTTAGAAGTATGGATGACATGTTCATTTTTTTTTTTTTTTTTTTTTTGAGACGGAGTCTCGCTCTGTCACCCACGCTGGAGTGCAGTGGCGTGATCTTGGCTCACTGCAAGCTCCGCCTCCCGGGTTCACAACATTCTCCTGCCTCAACCTCCCGAGTAGCTGGGACTACAGGCGCCCGCCACCACGCCTGGCTAATTTTTTGTATTTTGGCTTAGTAGAGACAGGGTTTCACCATGTTAGCCAGGATGGTCTCGATCTCCTGACCTCGTGATCCACCCGCCTCGGCCTCCCAAAGTGCTGGGATTACAGGCATGAGCCATCGCACCCATCCAAAGTGTTCATTTTTTTTTAAGAACCTACAGTTACGAGAAGTAACTGAAGAAGTGGGAAATCTGGAGACCAATATGCAGAAGAAGGAAAAAGACAAAGACTCATCCTCCAAATTGGATATTTAAACCAGAATTTGTCATCCTCAGCAATATTGATATATTGGGCCAGATAATTCTTTGTGGAGGGTTCTCTTGGTGTGTTGTCGGGCATTTAGTAACATTCCCTCTACCCACAGAATGCCAATGAGACCTCCCGACCATGACCAGTTGTGACCACAAAAATGTCTCCAGATATTTCCAAACGTCCCATAGGAGGCAAAATACTCCTGCAGTTGAAAATTACTGTGTAAACCAGATCTACATCCTAGATCTTAGAAAAAAGATGTAAAGCTTCCCAACTCAGCCCTGCATACCCTTGATACTGAAATAACAGCCTTAAAGGAAACAAACAAAACTATAATCTTATTTAATACAGAAGTAAAAATGCAAAAATAAAATATTACCATAGCCATTCTAACAGTGTTTATTATAGGAATGCAAAGATAATTCAAAATTAGGAAAATTTCATCAGGCAATTCACAAATTATATTTCTACATATAATTGAAGGCACAATCATGAAAAACAAAGTAGCTCTATATGCATTAAGTCCATGATCTATTCAGTGAAAAACACAAGTTGCACATGTCTTACAGAAGGAAAACTTAACACTGAACACAGATTCTCACCATCTGCTCTTTGTCCTGAGGCTCCAATAGAAATACAGTGAAGAATAAACATTGTATAAGCACACCATTACAAAAAAGGAATGGGGTTACCAACAGAAGAGAATTCATCTTCATTAGACAATGACAGTACATGGAAAATGGTTAATTCATGGAGCAAAGCAACAAAGGTGGAGGTCAGGGGGATACTGAGAACAAGGAGGCTAATCTGTCCCACAGCAACCTGGAAAGGTTCTAGACTCAGACACGAGGTACCCCCGACAGTGGGACTGATAGGCAAGACTGAAAACAGAGATTAAGCAAAAGCCCGGATAGAGAACACATTTCACAGGCCCTGAAACACACTGCTGGCCCCATCTCCTTAAACAGAACCCAAGCAAACGTATCCACCTCAGGCAAGAGAATGTAGATTTTACATCCAGAGGAATGGAGTAGTCACCCAGCCATCATTTATGATTGCAACAGGAGATAAGATAGAGGGATGGAGGATAACAATTAGGAATCAGCATACATTCCCCTTAAAGCTATCAGTTGACAAGTCTTGGCCACAAAGAACTCCCAATCAATTTTTATTTATTTTTATTTTTATTTATTTATTTATTTATTTATTTTGAGACAGGGTCTTGCTCTTTCGCCCAGGTTGGAATGCAGGAATGCAGTGGCATGATCAGAGCTCACTGCAGCCTCAACCTCCTGGGCTCAAGCAATCCTCCTGCCTCAGCCTCCCAAGTAGCTGGGACTGCAGATGGGTGTCACCACACCTAGCTATTTTTTTTTTTTTGTAAAGATGGGGTCTCACTATGTTGCCCAAACTAGTCTTGAGCTCCTGGGCTCAAGTGATCCTCCCACTTCGGTCTCCCAAAGCACTGAGATTATAGGTGTGAGCCACCACACCTCGGCTCCCAGTCTTTTAGTACCTCTCTCAAATATGAATGAACAAATAAAGGAATGGAAAAAAGACTACAGGTCAGGCACGGTGGCTCATGTCTGTAATCCCGCACTTTGGGAGGCCGAGGTGGGTGGATCACCTGAGGTTGGGAGTTCCAGACCAGACTGACCAACATGGAGAAATCCCATCTCTACTAAAAATACACAAATTAGCTGGGTGTGGCAGCACATGCCTGTAATCCCAGCTACTTGGGAGGCTGAGGCAGGAGAACTGCTTGAACCTTGGAGGCAGAGGTTGTGGTGAGCCAAGATCACATCATTGTACTCCAGCCTAGGCAACAAGAGCGAAACTGGGTCTCAAAAAAAAAAAAAAAAAAAAGACTACAAATGATAAGCAACATAGAATAGATATTTAAGGAAAGGCTTTAAAAAGAAAAATAAGACCAAAATAAACTAAGAAAAAAATTATTAAAGAACAAGGAGATGCCAGGGAGAAGACAAAGAGTATCAAAATCACTTCATAAAGACACTTGTGAATATATTACATGTATAAAACAAAACAATATGAATAAGAAATAATCAGAGAAGAAAAAGTTCTTAGAACTCATGCTCCATCTTGGGAGTTGGTCTCCAATGAGCCATACCTCCTGTCATCATGTCCTCAGACAGGCCCATCCCATAGTCAATCTGGGTTGGCCCCAACACTCACTTTAACCTATAGCATGTGGTAGAAATGACACTGGACCTGTTCCAGGTCTAAGCCTTAAGAACTCCTGGCAGCTCCATTTCTGTGCTTCTGGAAGCCAAAAATAAGAATTGGCTACCTTCTTGGAGAAAGAAAAGCCACATGAAGAGATCCGAGAGGATGAGATGCTATGCAGAGAGAAAGGCCACATCAAGAATTACCAAGGCAGCAGACCTGTGGGTAAAGAAGCCGTCTCAGACATTCCACTGCAGCTGAGCATCCAGATGACCAGTCCCTGACACTGTTTAACCACACAGTGAGAGCTGCCAAATGAGACCAGCAGAAAAACTGTCCAGCTAGCCCCAGGTAATCCATACAGTCGTGACAGATAGACAGATGTGTAGTTTTAGGCCATTAAGTTTTGGGATAATTGGTTAAGCAACAATAAATAACCAAAACAAAACTTAAAGTTATGACAGTCCAAATAAAATTTCCTGAAAGTCGAAAGATAAGAAAATATTCCAGAACTGAAAATTTAAAAAACATTTAGAAATAACGTGAGATATAAGACTCAAGACAAGAGGTCTCAAATCCAATTAACAGACACTTCCAAATGAACAAATAAAATGGAAAAGAGAAAGTTAACAACAAAAATATGACAAGATTCAAGACTCCAACTTTGAAAGAGCCTATCCATAGGCCTGTTCATTTGGTGTACCCAGCATAATGAATGAAAAAAGACCCACACTAAGTACACTGTTGTGCTATTTCAGCTCACCAAGGAAAAGACAAACTCCTAAAAGCTTCCAGGGAGAAAGTCATGCATAAACAAGTGAAACTCAGGATGGCATGAGGCTTCGCCACCACGACTGGTTAGAAGACAACAGCACAGACTTTGAAATTCTAAGGTAAAATTATCCTCAACCTAGAAATACGTAATCAAGCAAACTATCAATCAAGTGTGAGGGTAGAATATGAGAGACGTGAATACTGATGGGGATGTGATATGCAGCAGGCACTGTTCTAAATGGTTTACATGTACCAACCCAATTAAGAAACTTAAAATACACACGTGCACACACACACACACACACACACACACACACACACACACACACACACACACACACACAGTTTTTCCTGCTAATCATTTTACGATGAAACAGCCAAGTAGCTAACCCAGAGCCCACAAAGGCAGAGTAAAAATTCTAACACTTGGTAAAATAAAAATGCACATATACCCTGTGATCTAAAAAAAAAAAATGCTTAAATATTCAAAGACAGACAGCAATTACAGCTACTGAGAACATCACTGTAAGCAAACTGAGGCAGAGAAAACAAAGGTGCTAATGAGGATTTGAACCACCTAACATGCAGAAACCCACTGGATGCTTTCCTAGGTTCCGAGCTGGCATTGTCTTTCAGAATGATCTAGAAGAGGTCACATGACACTGTTACAAAGGATCTAGAGAAAGGGACCCTTGCTTTATCACTCCGGCTCTCCAGTCATGCTTCACATTTTCACTTCTTACACTCTTTCACATGAAGTCAATTTACAGACCTCCATCATGCCCTTAGAGACCTTTTTGTAATATTCTGACAAGTTCTGGATGTCATCTCTGCACTTTTGACAAATTCTTAGCAGTTAACGTACAAGGCAGTTAACATTTTTGTTCACGGTATAGCTAGAAAAGGGTCATATACTCAATAAAACAAATATTTACCAAGCATTCATTGAGTGGAAGATAAAACGCACAAAGCATAATTATAAAATATTCTCCCCTGCCATGATACAACAAAATTTTTAAAGGCTTACAGAATATAGCATAACATGACCAAAGCAAAAATAGTAAGGACTAAAGAGGGGAGGAAGGGAAAATATCAGCATGAACTGAATATGACCCAGAAGAGTCTTGATGGTCAGACATGTAAAGATGTATTGGGCAGGGTTAAGGGGTGGAAGTCAGGGGCACAGGTCAGGGGCACATTCTACAAGGGAAAAACAGCTGATACAGAAGCCTGAAAGGTAAAGTGGGCAGAGCACCTGTACAGGACTCTTACCTGCCACAGCGAGGGCACAATGCGCCTTTCCAGAACACAGCAGCGCGCAGCCAGGCCTGGGGCAGAGGGATCACTCAAACAGCACCAGAGGCTGCATTCCTACTTTTCTTCCGTCAACAAGTCCATTTTCGTTGTTAGTTTCTCCTTCAACACAAACTTAAAAACAAATGGCTGAACACGCAGGAACAAGGAAAACCTGACTGAAGAATGAGACGTTAAAACTTAAGGGCCTTGGGTCCTGGCACGGTGGCTCACGCCTGGAATCCCAGCACTTTGGGAGGCAGAGGTGGGTCATTTGAGGTCAGGAGTTCAAGACCAGCCTGGCCAACACGGTGAAACCCCGTCTCTACTAAAAACACAAAAGCTAGCCAGGCGTGGTGGCCGGCGCCTGTAATTTCAGCTACTCGGGAGGCTGAGGCAGGAGAATCACTTTAACCAGCGGACTGTCAAGAGAGGTAGGCTGCAGTGAACCGAGATAGCGCCACTGCACTCCAGCCTGGGCTACACAGTGAGACTCTGTCTCAAAAAAAAAAAAAAAGAAGTCATGGTCATGGTAAAAAACCTATGGCTTTGGAAGGCTTTCTCGGTAACGTCCTAGAATTAAGGTTAAGCCTGCGTTTCCTGTTAACTGAACAGGAAACCAGCCTGACCAACATCCTTCTGCCCGGTGGCTTGCTCTCAGCTCCTCTTCGTTGGGCCTTGGGCAGCCAGACTGTCTAGTTTTAATCCTTGCTCTGCCACCTGTGACCTTGGACAAGTTACCTACCTTCAGTTACCTCATCTACAAAATGCAGATATTAATAATACCCTCTTTTTAATTTATCCAGAGGATTAAAAGAGTTAATAAAAAGTAAAAAATAAAAAGACTTGGTAAGCATAGGCACAGAGGAAAAAAAAGTAAAAATAAATAATTAAATAAAAAGACCAGTGCCTAGCACATAAAAGTTCATCAGGAATTAATTCTATAATATGAACTCAATTTTGCAAAACTTCAAAGTACGTACAACTTTTAACTTACTAGGGTATACATACCAGTAATAAATTCACAACGGTAGACATGTTTGCCTACTGTAAATATAACAAAGACTAAACAAGCAGATACTAAATCATTAAGCAATTATCAGTTAGTATCTTTAATTTTCTTATACTTCTATATTTTCTATAGATCATCTTTGTAACAAGAAGAAAACCAACCAAATGAAAATGAAATGAATTCTCTCAAAAAGAATTAAGTCAAGACAGGAAGAAGGCTCGCAAAGTAATATAAAATATATCTTATGGTTTATGGAAAATTCTTAATAAAATACCTTCTTTGCTCCAAGCTGCACTCTGGCTTTGCCTTTGAGTCAGGTGGCATGTCTTTGCACGATGACTGGTTCTATTGAGTAGGCACTGCTTCAGCCCTACAGGAAGAACAAAACCTCTCTGGAACACAGCAGCATTCCTGATTCCCACTTGAGGAGGCCTAACAAAACGGCATATGCCTCAACAGCAGCAGATCAGTGTTAAAAAGTCTGGAGTCAAGGGGAAAAAGTAAAATTGGACCATTTCCAAAATCTCACAAAAAGCAACAAACTGACGTTCTAAGTGCCCAACATGAGCAAATTAGAACCTTAAATAAAGGTCACTCTTAATGCCTATCCCAGCATAGATGCAGCACCAAGTACAGTGTCATTTTACTGGTTTACCTTTTTCATTCTTGAAAGTAGGAGCTATGAAAAAAAACACTAAAATTTCTCTAAGAGAACCTTCTACTTTCTGTCTAACTTACATAATCAAAACACTGTATTGAGGGTGAAAATTGAATATTATAAGAAAATAATCACGTGTTTTGCGAGAAGTTGCAAATATAATGCTCCTCCACCCAATACCTACCTTAAAAAGAAAAAAGGAAACATACAAAATTATCTCGAGAATTATTCCTGCTTAAACAATGTCTACGTGCCATTACTAAGTATGCACACAGTAAAGATGAGAAGAGGACATGCAAGCGTGAACATACTTGTTAGGGATATAGGACTATGGGTAATTTAAACATTTTAATGGTATTACTCTCATGTAATTGCTCTGAAATTCTAGTCAGTTGTTTGAAATGGCTCTTAGAACAGAATACTTTGACATTTTTATGATGTCAAAAACTAAGAACTTAGCCCTAAATATTCCAAAGAATAGGTGCAGAAGAACCCGTTTCCTTAAACGGCATTTGAGTATTCTTCACAACTCAAACTTTCTCTCCCATCCTGTGATGGCCGAGAGTTTTTCCTCTGACGACGGCACTGACCTTACCCTATCCAAAATATGAACATCTGCATGGTTTCCTGGTTCAAATTGCTTTTATCCATTCTGTCGTGAGAATCAAATGGTTCAGACCATGCAGCACCTCTCTGGGACTTCTCAAGTCCTTTCTAGATCTGAAGACTATTCTCTGAACCAAAGACAACTTCTGGGGGTGTACCAAATCTCCCATTAGAAAATTATTAAGATCAAGATGTTTTAACCTTTTAACTCTTTCTCAAACAAAATAAATTCGTTTCTCCTTTACCGTTATTTTAAATTTCAAAATACACAGATAGTATGTCTAAAATAAAATCAAGAGAATGACAGTTTTAGAACACAAACTGTGGTAATTTTGAAAACACAAAAGCTGAGACCACTAATTAGGTCTATGTGGACACCAAGTCCACCACAACCTGTTCTGTCCTCCGGGGCTCTGCCCACGCCTTTCCCTTGCCTGAGATTCCTTCTGCTTCCTACCCTTCCAAATGCTGTATTTCCCCCTGGAAGACTTGCCAAGACCACTCTAACATGCACATCTCCCATTCCAGCTAACCAAAGGCATCCTTGGGTTGACTAAACCAAATTATTTTGCAGACAAGGCATCTAAACACTTCCACTGTAGACTATTCACCTTAATAATTGATATTGTGACATTATTCAATAATAAAATGAGGGAAAGAAGTCCTCTTCAATCCCTTATCCTGGAGAACCCAAGCAAGTGTCTTTCCCACTTGCTTTGCCCAAACCCTGGGACCTTTCTAAGTAAAAGTTTAATGGAAGGGAAAGAAAATCTAAAAGAAAAACTCTCCAAGAAATTAAACTCGGGCAAAGATTCATGGGATTAAAAATTTTTATTCTTTGTGTATCTGATTTCCGAAACACAGAAATCTCTCTCCCACTCCTTAAACCTACCACTGGGCTAAGAGAGTATTGTACAGAATATGCACTCACTGACTTAACAGAATTAGAACATCCAGGCACTCACTGAGATTTTGCTTCCACAACCGCTCAAAGTCTAGTCATTAGTTCATGAGTTAACACCACACTTGACCTTCAAATTTTGGAAATGCTGACGGTAGACAGGGACTTGTTTTGGGAAAGGAAGTACACAGTAGACATTGTTACCCATGACCCAACCACCACCACCTTTCCTTTAAAGAACCCCACTCTTCCTTTAAGGTTGCAGAGTCTCAGAAAGTGGGAAGAAAGGAAGTTTTTGCATTTTCAGGTCAAAACGAAGTACATTTGTGCAACCACATAATGCCCATGCAAAGGTTTCTTGAAATCTAAACACAAGACAGAAGTAGTTCTAGCACCTCCACAAAAAGTAAGGTAAGTAAGTTTTTCCTTAATATACACTTTCAGCAGCATCAACACCTAAAAGTGGTTGACTTTACTACTGTACTAAATTAAATTACATTCATTTTGTCAATAGGTGTTCCAAATTCGTACTGATCTTTGTCTCCAAGGGGTTCCTGCTGAATATTGAGACAGTTGAAGATTACTAGGGGAAAAAATTCTTAATAATCGAAGTAAGGATCATCTAAGGATAATATGCCACATATACAGACACAGTCACATTTTCAGCTTTACAAAAGTTCAGTTATCAAAGTTGTACAGCAAACACTATCCTAAGCTTAGCGTCTTCAGGCATTTGATTTATAATCACTGTAAAGAAAAATCAGTCACAAAATGCCACTGTTGTATGATTCTATTTATATGAAATGCCCAGGATAGGCAAATCTACAGAGATAGAAGTTAGATCAGAGGTTGCCAGGATCAATGGTGGGGGAGAGAGGTACAGGGAGTGACTGCTAGTGGGTACGGGGTTCTTTTTGGGGAGATGAAAATGTTCTGAAATTAGGGAGTGGTAATGGCTGCATAACTCTGAATATACTAAAAACCACTGAACTGTACACTTGAAGGGTGAGGCTTATCATACAAAAACTGTATCACAATAAAGCTCTTAGTTTAAAAAATGTTTGTCTATGTCAAGAAACAAAGAAATAGGGTCATAGCTAGAAGATATGGGATATAAAATACTGGAACAAAACTGCTTAATAATATATCTAGAATCACACAATGCTTAGTCTTTACGCTGACTAAAATCACGAGATTTGTGTTTTATCGGTATTTCACGTTTTTTACTTCTTCTAAGTCAGCCAGTAATTCCTCCTTCTCACTTAATCGTTGACTACAAAGACCAAGCCATTTTGACTCTGCCACCGATGAGCTTTCACATTTCTTTCCTCCTTCCATTCCCATGACTACCAAACCAGTGCAGGTTCTCCTCACTTCACTCTAAGACAACAGCGTGGCCCTCAAATACTGTCACACTCTTCAAGGCTCTGTGAGCACAATCTGTCTCATATTCTCTTCTGCTGTCACCAGATTTATTCTAAGACCGTTTCTTCACTGTTACTCCCCTGTTTCTCAACCAGTTACACAGAAAGACGAATATCCAGGCATGGTGTCATGTGCCTGTAGTCCCAGCTACTCAGGAGGCTGAGGCGGCAGGATCGCTTGAGAATGTGAGATTCAGACTGCAGTGAGCCATGATCATGCCACCGCACTCCAGCCTGGGCAACAGAGTGAGATTGTCTCAATAAATAAATAAGTAAATAAATAAATAAATAAATAAATGAATAAATGTGGTCTATCCATGCAACGGAATACTATAAAATTATCAGCCTTAAAAAAGAAAGAAGCCCTGTCACATGCTGCAATATAGATGAACCTTGAAAACATTACACTAATTGAAATCAGCCCATCACACAAAGACAAATGCTGTACAATTTCTCTTACATTAGGTTCGAAATTAGTCAAACTCATAGAAACAGAAAATAGAGCGGTTGTTTCCATAAGCCAGGGGATAGAGAAATGGGGAGTTGTTGTATAGTGGCTATAGTTTCAGTTCTCCAAGAGAAGCAAGTTCTAGAAACTTGTTACTCAACATGTATATTTTTAACACTACTGCACTGTATACTTACAAGTGGCTAATATGGTAAATTTTATGTTGTGCCTTATCACCATAATGTTTTTAAAAGAAGGGGTTTGTGTTTCCCTTCGTTGTGATCACCCATTTTTCACTTCAGCATTTTGAACTTGAGATTTCCTGTAGCGGTTTTACTGAGCCCTGCAGTTACCGGCTCAGAATGTCTCCACCGCCTTGTAACCTTGTAGGCAGACACTTTTCAGCATCTTATTGGGCTCCGTGTGCTTGATGCTTAAAGTGACATGGAGACATGCCACTTGCTGAGAAGCAAAGAAAGGCAAAAGGTGACTGACTGCTTTCCTGGCATCGATGAAGGCAGAGAGAAGGGATCTTGGAGGCACAGATATTAAGCCATAAGCAATAACATGGGTTGCCAAAAAGAGAACTAACCCCTCTCCTGGTAACATTTCCAGGTGTTTTTCACAGGGCCAGTGGATTTCACAATGTGAGTGCTGTCCAGCACCAAAGGGAATGGCCAACAGGCATGGAGCAGCCTACAGCGTCCAGCACCCAGTAGGATGGCCAGGAGGCACGGAGCAGCCTGCCTGTCCCAGGAAAGCAGGAGTCACAGGACACAACTGGACCCAGGTAGGCATGTATGTTACTTTCCTGTGGCTGTTAGAGCAAATTACCAAAAATGTGGTGACTTAAAACAACAGAAATTTATTTTCTCACAGTTTTGGATATCAGAAGTCCAAAATCAGTATCACTGGGCTGAAATCTAGGTCTCAGCAGAGCCAGTGCTCTCAGAGGCTGAGGGGAAAATCCATCCTTTGACTTGCGCAGCTTCTGATGGCTGCTGGCATTCATTGGCTTGCAGCTCCACCACTCCAGGCTCTGCCTTCTTGGTCACAGGGCCTCCTTCTCTTCTGTCTGAAGTTAAATCTCCTTTATCTCCCTCTTATAAGGATATATGTGCCAGGATTTAATGCCCACGGAGACAATCCAGGATAATCTCTCTTCAAGATCCTTAACTTAATCATACCTGAAAATCTGCTTTTTCCAAATGAGGTAACATCTACATGTTCTAGGAGTTCCAGACCAGCCTGGACGACATGGTGAAACACGGTCTTTTTTTTTTTTTTTTTTTTTTTTTTTTGAGTGGAGTTTCGCTCGTTTTCCAGGCTAGAGTGTTTTCCGGTCTCGACTCACCGCGGCCTCCACCTCCCGGTTAGGTGGTTCTCCTGCCTAAGCCTCCTGAGTGGCTGGGATTGCAGGCATGAGCCACCATGCCAGCTAATTTTGGTGTTTTTTTTTTGTACAGACGGGGTTTCTCCGTGTTGGTCGGGCTGATCTCAAGCTCCTGACCTCGGGTGATCCACCCGCCTCCGCCTCCCTGGGTGCTGGGATTGCAGGCGTGAGCCACCGTGCCCCCGGTCCAATTTAGTAACCAGAAAGGAATAGATCGGCCTGGCGTGGTAGCTCATGCTTGTGATCCCAGTACTGTGGACGGCCGAGCGCGGCGATCGATTGAGCCTAGGACTTCCAGACCGGCCTGGGCAACGTGGTGAAACACTGTCTTTTTTTTTTTTTTTTTTGAGTGGAGTTTCGCTCGTTTTGCAGGCTGGAGTGCAGTGGCGTGGTCTCGACTCACCGCGGCCTCCACCTCCCGGGTTTAGGTGGTTCTCCTGCCTCAGCCTCCTGAGTGTCTGGGATTGCAGGCATGAGCCACCATGCCAGCTAATTTTGGTTTTATTTTTTTGGTACAGACGGGGTTTCTCCGTGTTGGTCAGGCTGATCTCGAGCTCCTGACCTCGAGTGATACGCCCGCCTCCGCCTCCCTGGGTGCTGGGATTGCAGGCGTGAGCCACCGCGCCCCCGGTCCAATTTAGTAACCAGAAAGGAATAGATCTGCCTGGCGTGGTGCCTCCCCCTTGTGATCCCAGGACTTTGGAAGGCCGAGTGTGGCAGATCGCTTGAGCCTAGGAGTTCCAGACCGCCTGGGCAACATGGTGAAACCCGGTCTCTGTTTTGAGACGGAGTTTCACCCTTGTTGTCCAGGCTGGAGTGCAATGGTGTGATCTTTGCCCACCGCAACCTCGGCCTCCCGGATTTAGGTGATTCTCCTGCCTGGGCCTCCCTAGTAGCTGGGATTACAGGCATGAGCCACCATATCCGGCTAATTTTGTAGTTTTTTTCTTTTTTTTAGTAGAGACGGGATTTCTTCATGTTGGTCAGGCTGGTCTCCGACCTCGGGTGATCCGCCCACCTCTGCCTTCCAAAGTGCTGGGATTGCAGGCCTGAGCCACTGCGCCCGACGGAAACCCAGAACGGAAAACAAAAGAAAAACCACAAAGATTAGCCGGCTGTGGTGGGCCGCGCAGGTAGTCCCAGCTACTCTGAAGGCTGATGGAGGAGGATTGCTTCACCCCGGCTTCTAGGTGGCAGTGAGCTATGATGGCGCTGCTGCACTCCAGACTGGGCGACAGAGCGGGACTCTGTGGCAGGAAAAGGGAAAGGAAAAAAAAAAGAAAAAGAATGTAAATAAAATTGCTAACTCAAGGAACAGCTTGACAGTATATTATTGCGACAAATAGAGGCAAAGGTTAGCAGACACCAGTGTTCACTTAGTGGGACCTGCGGGTGTTCCCCCCATAGGAGGCTGCTACTTTCCCACAAGAAATCCATTACTGACTACCGATAAAAGAACACATCGTAGGTTTCTTACAATATACAAATAGCTAAACTTTATATAGCCACGACCATATTCTAGCACTGCTCTAAGCCATTTCCTACTCTGAAATAGCTACTATTGTTACCTCCATTGTAGAGAAAACAGGTGCCGGAGGCTGTTGTGGAAGGCCCAGGGAAACTGACTATGAAATTGACTTGTTGTAAGTTTCAGACTTAAAAGTTCTTCCTGCTCTGCGCCTTACATTGCTACATTTTAGTTAAGGTACCTCTTACAATACTGGTCCTTTCTGTATTTGGAGGGACTTCTCTTGCAAATTGAAGTTTTTTCTTGCGCTAAGCATTTGGTCATGAGATTATCTGCGTTTTACATCAGTTTAAATACCTCTTTAGACATTGTTCAGTTAGGAATGTAAATAGGAGCTAACATTGTGTGTAAAAGGAAAGAACATCTGATTACAACCACTTTTGTTTCATAATACAAATATAAATCAATATGTTATTGGAAATGCAGGCTGGGAGGGGAGGGAAAATATGCATAGAGAAAAGCCCCATCTCTGCTTGGAGTTCAGCACTGGGTCTCTTTTTCCTTTCCACCTTCCTTGTCAAGGCTGCCACAGTGACAAGCACACAGGGGTGCCTTTAGTGACACCTGCTGCGACAGACCTGGCAGAACGGATTGCAGATTTGCATGTTTCCTGGCTGCCTCTGCTAGCCTGAGTCAGCAGCCCACTCCAATTCATGCTGAGCTTAGACAGCTCAGGTTTGCAAAATTATCCCTTCCCTTGGAGCAACCGCTTTCCAGTCTCCTCATCATTCCTAAAGGAGAATGACACACATGCCAGCATGACAGAGGTCCAGAAATTTATAGAAGCTTCATTGTGAGCCTATATCCTTAACAGGGGTTCAAACTACCAACACCGAATGAAGAGAGAGGTTTTGCAGTAAAGCAGGAAGTCATTAAAATAATGAATCACCCAGCTAGGTTTTGAGCTCCTTTCCCACCAATTTAATGGAAAGTTTTATTGTCTTTACAATGTACACTTTCATAAATTTTGCATAAATTTATTATTCACATCTTAACATAGGTAACTCCTTAGTGTTTGATCACTGAGCAAATTATATACAGCAAAACAATCCGATATTTTGGTGAACTCATAGCTTAGAAAATACTAAAGACTCATTGTAAACTGAGGGCAGCATTAAGCAAATTATATTTACCTTTGTGACTGCAAAACTTAATGATTCAATGCTTTTCCCATGAAATTTATCTTCCAATACTGATAGTTTTTTAAACAAAAAATATGAATTAAATATCAATTAAAATTTTATCATTGTTTTCAGAAACTGTGACTTCACTAGTTATGAACAGACTTGAAATGTATAGTTTTTAAGTTTGGAAATTCTTTGTAGTCTCATTTACTTTTCCAGGAAGGAAGTGAGATATTTTTTGCCACTGTTGCCTGGTTTTTGTTTGTTTTTTGATCATAAACAAAACTTAATGGAGCCTCAAATCTACTAACTCGGTCCTCCTCTGGCAATATGCCTTTTTCTGATTTCTAGATATCACTTGATATTTTTTAACACACTAATTTTATTATTTAAAAATTTATAAAAGTACTCAGAAGTAAGAGGCAAATTAAATTTGAAACCTTAGTGGTAATACCATCATCCAAAGTCATCATCAATAATATTTTGGCATATTTTATTTTAAAATACATTTCAGCACAGTTTAGTTATATTTGTTATATCTGTATCAATAAACTGTTTTCATATGTCATTACTTTTATGGATATAATTTTTGACGTGCGACTAATATGAAATCTTATATACTTGCTATAGTTGACCTTGTGAGACATTTAGATTTTCAACTGTTTAGTACTTTAATAACCAGTTTTTATTCTAATATCATTATTAGAATAATAATATTACTATAATATTATTATTATTGTAGCAATAACTTGTTTTTAGAATAAATATCCTATTTCTCATTTAACTTGATCGGATCCGTGCATGGACAATTATGTTGGGAACATAGAATGTAACTGGCCCTGTTTCAACCCCTTAGATGTGGCCCTCAGTTCAGGGAAGGGAGGAGTTCTCTACTGGGCTGATAAAGCAGAATTCAGAAACATTGTTTTCTTCTCTACCTGGTGTCTTACAAAACCAGAAGATGTGAGTGTGACTCTTAAAGGCAAGAGCATGTATATTATGCAAAAGCAGCCTGAAATATTTTATTCACAGACAGACAGACAATGCTTGACTCCCTGCTAATCTGAAATACTTCGTCGGGAGGGCCAGGGAAATCAAAACAAAATTTCAGAAGTAGAATGAGCTATTTGGTGTATGTCTCCAAGGCCAATAAATAACAAGAAGGAAAAATAAATTTCTTTGCTAACAACAAGAAGGAGAAATAAACTTTTTTGCTCTAAAATATTTTCCAATTATCTCCACGACACTGGAGGGAAGGACTAACAAAAAAAAAAAAAAAAGAAAGAAAGAAAGAAAAAAAAAAAGAAAAGGAAAAAAAGGTGGGGCATGGTGGCTCATGCCTGTAATCCCAGCACTTTGGGAGGCCAAGGCGGGTGGATCACAAGGTCAGGAGATCGAGACCATCCTGGCCAACATGGTGAAACCTGGCTCTACTAAAAATACACAAAATTAGCCGCAGGCACCTGTACTCCCAGCTACTTGGGAGGCTGAGGCAGGAGAATGGCATGAACCCGGGAGGCAGAGCTTGCAGTGAGCCGAGATGGCGCCACTGCACTCCAGCCTGGGGGACAGAGCGAGACTCCATCTCAAAAAAAAAAAAAAAAAAAAAAATTAACCATCACAGAGGAGCAGAGAAAAACCTTCTCAAAGACAGAAGTCATTGATTTATTTCCATCCCGGCACAAGCCCCTTAATTCTGTAACTTGTCCAGAATGGTTTCCTGTCACTGTAGATTCTGCATCAGAACATCCTCTTATGCAAAGCTAAAAAACTCCAAACCACCTCTGTTAACTGTGCAGTGCTCCATGGTTTCACACAGTCCAGAGCTGCTTGTGTTTATCAAAAATGAAGCAGAAAACAAAATTCTTCCTTCACACAACCACTACATTCCATTGCACATTTACCAAAGACATTTACCACGTTGGCATTATTTGTGCATCCATCAAGAAGTGCTGAAAAGCATTCCCCTCACACACTGCATGTGTCCTGTGAGTGGATCTTCCATTTTACTTGCCAGTTCTGGAAAACTTTGAATTTGTGTGTCGATGGAAAATTAAAGTTTAGTAGCATCTTTGCCCCACATTCACCCAACTTTTCTAGGAACTATTTCAATGCTACTTTTCACTAGTGTCACTTTTCAGTCTTAGCCTCCTGGAGTACAACTTTATTAGAAGCCCGCAAAGCACTAGTGTTAAAATGAGAAATAGTAAACATCTGATTCTGTTGTGTTTTAACTCCATGCTTTTCTCTAATGTTTCATTGTTTTGAATTTAATTCTTTGTGCTTCCCACGTGAATGCAACTTACAGTTTGAATGTCTTCTTTCTTCACTAGCCGATGCATCTGTGCCAGTAACACACGGTGATTCTGTCCTTTCACCTTCAGTTATGCCTGTAAAACCAAATTCAAGACAGATGATCCTCAACTCACAAAGGAGTTATAGCTCATCATCAGTTGAAAATATAAGCCGAAAATGCATTTAAGGCCGGGTGCAGTGGCTCAGCCTGTAATCCCAACTCTTTGGGAGGCTGAGGCGGGTGGATCACCTGAGGTCAGGAGTTAGAGACCAGCCTGGCCAACATGGTGAAACGCTGTCTCTACTAAAAATACAAAAATTAGCCAGGCATGTTGGTGCGCACCTGTAATCCCAGCTACTGCGAAGGCTGAGGCAAGAAAATCGCTTGAACCCAAGAGGCAGAGGTCGCAGTGAGCCGAGATCATGCCATTGCACTCCAGCCTGGGTGACAAGAACAAAACACACTGTCTCAAAACATAAAATTAAATTAAATTAAATTAAAATGCATTTAATACACCTAAGCTAACATCATAGCTTAGCCTAGCTTACCTTAAACATTCTCAGAAAATTTACATTCACCTTCCATTGGGCAAAAATTCTCTCTCACAAACCCACTTTAAAGTGTTGAATATCTCATGTAATTTATTGAATACTGAAGTATGGTTTCTGCTGAATGCGTATCACTTTCACACCATCATAAAGTCAAAAAATTATAAGTCAAACCATTGTATGTCAGGGATCATCTGTCCATTAGAAATAGTACTTCTGAGTAAAACGAGGACAAACTCCTTTGGTCTTCATGTCCTCAGAATCACTTTCATAATCATCTCTTGGTTTACAAGGTGCATCTTTTATTGGTTAAAAAAATTAATACAATTTATTTCACTCTCAAATTAGGTTTAATAATAAATAATACAACTTTCTTTTGTTTTCACTAATAATGCTAACATTGGCTTGATTTAAAATTAATATTGCAAAAATAAGACTTTATAGAATAGATGTTCCCATTTTTCAGATGTGTGAGATTATACTATAGTTGACAAACTAACCTTAAAGAACGCAGCTTGCAATGTGGTCCTTGTGTATGTGACTCGTTTGCAGCTCACAGCCTCTGCATCTTTCCATCGAGTCTGACAAAACCTGAGTTGGTCTGTAACTGCTCATTGAGACAAGTCCCCTGATGTCACATGCTGGGAGAATGTCAAGTTTCTATAGAAATTTCTAAACATTTACCCTGAATTTCTATGTTTCTATCATTACATAGAGATGACAGAGTGTTGACAGACTTTGAGTGGTCTTTAGTAACCAATTGTTGAAAGTCTGGTTTAGCTAAACTAGTTTGTAAGTACCTCGGCAGGTGCCTTTGCTGTAGGAATTCTCAGAGTCTCTATAAACTAATGAGCATTGGAAATCTGCAGGGGGGAAACAGAGTATGCAGTATCCCCCATGATGATTCAACCCCAGATTTTATTTTTCACTGAGCATCTCACACTTAGTAGTGTATCTTTTCTATGCATTGGGCACTGGGAGACGACGTGTTGTCATCTCAACAGAGACCTGGCCTTCAGACGCCACCACTCACTGCCGCTCTGTCCAGGCGAGCATCAACTTGCACTGTTTCAGAAGCAAAAGGAAAATGAACCGCAGCCACTGAAGTCCCTCAGAACTGAGGAAAAGTTACTGACTTTCCTGATTTGTGTTCAGTCTGGCTGGCCATGGGTACAGACACAGCTGGTTTCCCCATTTGTGAGCTGGACGGATTTAATTCCTGGCTGTTTGAATGATGTATCCCCTCATCAGTGAAACCAACAGAGTAGCTCAACTTAATTTTCTCTTTCTATGGCATGCCATTTATACCCATTCAATTATGCCTGTGTCAATTAAGTCAAACATTCTTACTGTCTCTATTTCTAATAAAAAGTGGTAAACACTCGAAAACCCCTTTCATAAATAGGCATGTATAAAAGCAATGTTCTTAATAAAAATGTTGGACTTAATAAAAGTATTTTAAAAAACAGTAGGAACCATAGTATAATAAAGGCCTTAGCCGGGCGTGGTGGCTCACACCTGTAATCCTAGGACTTTGGGAGGCTGAGGCGGGCAGATCACGAGATCAGGAGATCGAGACCATCCTGGCTAACACGGTGAAACCCCATCTCTACTAAAAACACAAAAAATTAGCTGGGCGTGGTGGCAGGTGCCTGTGGTCCCAGCTACTCGGGAGGCTGAGGCAGGAGAATGGTGTGAACCCAGGAGAGGGAGTTTGCAGTGAACAGAGATTGTACCACTGAACTTCAGCCTGGGTGACAGAGCGAGACTCCGTCTCAAAAAAAAAAAAAAAAAAAAAAAAAAAAATATATATATATATATATATATATATAAAGGCCTCATTTTGCAGGTGAGGACACTGAAGATTATAGAAGAAAGAAGGGCTTCATGCAAAACCACGTTCCTGATTGTTGGCGGAACCAAGCCCACAACCTGGAACTCAAGTTTCTCTACTTATAGTAGACGCTCAAAGAATTATAATACTTTATAACAACGTCATAATCATTTGACATTTCTAAGCTGGTCATGTTTTCTTTCATGTGTACTTCTCCCCTCTCAACAATTACCGTGCCCTTGGCAATTTAATAAAGCAGGATAATATTCAACTCAGTGACCTACAGCTTGACAAGCATCTCCTGCTCCCAGAAAACAGAAGGTGTTGCTGTCAAACTAATACTAAATAATAATTTTCTGTAGTCCTAGAGCCTCTGGACTTCCCAATTACACGGCCAATAAACCCCCTCATTGTCTGAGCCAGTCTGAGCTGGGCAGCCTGACTGAAGTCTGGAACATCCTAACTGGCACAAAGGCCCTTAAGATGACCCCAAGCCACCTGTCTGGCTTTCTCTCTTGTCACTTCCTTCTACATCCTCTCTGCAACAACCAAATTAGATTACTCACCATTCCCCACACTGCCTTGTGATTTTCTTTCTTTCTTTTTTTTTTTTTTTGATGAAGTTTTATTCTTGTTGCCCAGGCTGGAGTGCAGTGGTGTGATCTCAGCTCACTGCAATCTCTGCCTCCTGGGTTCAAGTGATTCTCCTGCCTCAGCCTCCCGAGTAGCTGGAATTACAGGTGCCCAGCATCATGCCCAGCTAATTTCTGTATTTTTAGGAGAGACAGGGTTTCACCATGTGGGCCAGGCTAGTCTCCAACTCCTGACTTCCGGCGATCCACCTGCCTCGGCCTCCCAAAGTGGATTTTCTTTTTTTACCCATGCACTTGCCCAAGCTGACTTTCTGGCTCAAACCTTTCCCCTGGCCTTGCATCCTCTCTATCCATCTGCCCAAACCTCCCTCACTCTCCAAAGTCTCATTTCAAATGTTGCCTTTCCCTGAAGCTTCTCCCGGAATGACCCATCTCTCCCTCCTCATTCTGATCATTTCCTCTTTGAATTCCCGTAGTGTTAGGTATGCCCTCCTCTTCCAGCACTGAATCCAGCCTTGCCTCGCATTAGAGTCATTTGTACACCTGACCTTAATCCCCCTGAGGGCAGGGATAGTTTGTGTTTATCCCAAAGTCCTGAAACAACTAGTACAGAACCTGAGACACAGGAAGGCCCCAGAATTGCCTGCCGAATAGAACAGTGATAGTGCTGAATTTGGTTCCTCCTTTAACCTGTGTGACCCCAGACGTTTGTTTTCTATGAAGCCTCAAAACATGGTTATGTTTCCTAATTTACAACGAACACATGGAAACCCATGTTTTGAAAATGGGGGTGGGGAGGATGAACTGAAGGCAGCCTCTTCAGCCAAGTTCCAAAGGCCAGGTGGCCCACTGTGAACCTTGTTTAACCACACAGAACATATGAATAGCTACAACAAGGGATCTAACAGTTACCAGAATGTTTTCAGAAAGGTGACTTCAGAAGTGCCAAGCTTCAGGAAGACCTGGACTGAGAAGGGATCAGACAACTTTAGGAAAGCAGGTACCAAACAGCCCTTTTACAGTTTACACACAGGTCTTGGTGTCAGAAAAATACTGGTTTGAGTACTGGTTATGCATCAGAGATGCCACTCTGGACAAGCTCCTTATGCTCTCTGGGACTCTGCTTTCTCATCTAAAAAATGGGGATCACCTGAGGTCAGGAGTTTGAGACCAGCCTGGCCAACATGGCAAAACCCCATGCCTGCTAAAAATACAAAAATTAGATGGGTGTGGTGGCTCGCACCTGTACTTGCAGCTACTTGGGAAGCGGAGGCAGGAGAATTGCTTGAACCTGGGAGGCAGAGGTTGCAGTGAGCTGAGATCGCACCACTGCACTCCAGCCTGGGCAACAGAGTGAGACTCTGTCTCAAAAAACGGGGCGGGGGGTGGTGGATAATAATAGTGCCTACCTCAAGAGGTTGCTGTGAACACCAGAAGAAGCAATACACACCAAGTGCCTACAGATAGTAAGCACTTGGTAAAAATGTAACTGCCATTAACAATAAATATGATGCTCACAGGGTCAGTGGAAAAAGTAGTGGAAAGTAGGAGTGGTGGGAACAGAACAGGAGGGAACAAAGCACCTCTGAGTAGACCTTTCTGTATAGCTCCGACTCTCCAACTCTTATTATGTTTCACCCTAATAATTCATTAAAACTAGGATAGGAAGGCTGAGGGTGTTTTTGGAATACAAACACTAATGAACCAAACTGCATTATAAATAGTGGCCACACTGAAAGGGATGAAGAAGAAAGTAACTACTTTTTTTTTTTTTTTTTTAGACAGAGTCTCCTTTTGTTGCCCAGGCTGGAGTGCAGCGGGGCTATCTCAGCTCACTGCAATCTCTGCCTCCTGGGTTCACGCCATTCTCCTGCCTCAGCCTCCCGCAGTAACTGGGACTACAGGCGCCCGCCACCACACCCAGCTAATTTTTTGTATTTTTAGTAGAGACGGGGTTTCACCATGTTAGCCAGGATGGTCTCGATTTCCTGACTTCGTGATCTGCCTGCTTCGGCCTCCCAAAGTGCTGGGATTACAGGCTTGAGCCACCGCGCCCGGCCCCCCCCGCTCCATTTTTTTTTTTTTTTTTTTTGAGACGGAGTCCCGCTCTGTTCCCCAGGCTGGAGTGCAGTGGCACAATCTCAGCTCACTGCAAGCTCCGCCTCCCTGGTTCAAGCCATTCTCCTGCCTCAGCCTCCCAAGTTGCTGGGACTACAGGCACCCACCACCACGCCCTGCTAATATTTTTTGTATTTTTAGTAGAAACGGGGTTTCACCGTGTAAGCCAAGATGGTCTCGGTCTCCTGACCTTGTGATCCACCCACTTTGGCCTCCCAAAGTGCTGGGATTACAGGCGTGAGCCACCACGCCTGGCCTCCCCCTGCTTTACTTGTATTAACCAAATATTTATGAGTCTATCTATCAAGCGTTCAAATTATTTTACATGTAATCGCCAATCTCCAGAAAATAAATGGGACCACAACAAATTTACCCTAATTTCTGCAGCGAGCATAAATAATTGCTTTCAAGGGATGCTTGAATGAAATTACTATCCTGACTGTAGGGGCAGGGGCTTGGTGAAGATTTGTCCTTTGTGAGTAATGAGAAGAGTATACTTGGATATAAAAATAGTGAAGAAATAAGTAGTTTTAAAAAAAACGCTAAATTCCATGTTTAGCAAAGTTAATGAGCCCTAAATTCCTAAAGCTGAGTATTAGTGTGTAAATGAGTACTCCAAACCAACAGAGAATAACCTTGTAATTCATGGATATTTAGCTAAAACTTCATATGTTCTCATCATTCTGTGTCTCCTAGTTTTAGTTCAAACAGATGTTTTCACTCCTAAAAGACTCAAAATTTCTGACAATGCCCTTTATTAATGTTACTTTTTGAGAAATCACTTATTAAGTAAAAATTAAATTTACATTTTTCAAAATTGCATGTTGGGTTAATTTACCAAATCTTTTATCTGTTTTGTGTTTCCAGTTAGCCATTTTTGTTTCTGATTTGTAAATATTCAAAAATATTTGTTGAAATTACAAATTTTATTAATTGATTTTTGAGGGGAGTAGGGTGCGTTAGTTACTTTTCATTTAAATTCTGTGGTGTTTTTGCATATTCAAATTATTGTATTGTGAATAACCTGAAAGACAGTAGCTATATGATCGTTTGAGGTAATGGTAACAATACTCAAGGGTTGAAAAGATATGATTTTAAGTATGAGCTAAGGAGACTGCCCTTTATGTAACTACGGGATGATGTGAAAATCTGTTTTAACAGCATGATTAAATTTGGAATTCTTTTTTTTGAAGTTTTGTAAAAGGGAGGCAGAAGTTTAAGGGAAAAAGTTGGCCAGGTAAACTTGGATAGTTTTAGATCTATTAGTGACAGAATACTCAAGCTCTTGAAAATAGGAAAAGTTGTTCTTGCCATGTCAAAGGACAAGGGCTGCCATATGCTAATCACTGTATCTTTACTCAGATCCTATAAAATGATTTGTACAGAGAAGGGATTTAGTAAATCTTTACTAAATTAATGTTAGATGATGGAATGGATCATTGCGGCTGAAGGAGAGAGTAGTGAAAATGAGGATATTAGGAAAGGAAGTGGATGATTTGCTCAGATGTTGTTAAATTAGGTTTTGATAGAAAAAACCTGGAAAAAAAAAAAAAACGACAACAGCCTGCATGACTTCTTAAAGCCCCCACCTCTCAATACTGTTTCAATGGCAATTACATTTCACATGAGTTTGAAGGGGAACTTAAAACCATAGCAAAGAGCACATTATATTCGTTGTTTCTGTGTAGTGCTGCTCTTTACCAGGCTAATAAATCCTGGTAGACATGCAAGAGCTTGCTCTTAATCCAAAATAAACAAAATGTGTTTTACTGAGAAAATTGCAGACATATCAAAGGGTAGTTTGACAGCACGGGTACAGAATACTATCAAGACATTTTCTTCTGTTTTACATACATGGGTAATTCTTGCTTGAATGCAAGAGGGCTGAATAACAGCTTTATTTAATATATTTTGTGTCAACTTCTGTATACAGATTTTTTTTTCTTGAGGTGAGAGAAGAGGAAAGAGGAGAACGTTAATTCCAGATAGCTTTAAGCAAATGTTAGAAAGGCGAACATTTATAGGTTTCCAAATATCTTTTGGCTAGCTGACATTTACAAACACGGAGCTAGGTAAGCTTTTCCCCCTAGCAATATTAAGGCTCTGGCAGCAAGTAAAGGATATGTGAAGTGAAATATGCCATTCAAACATAGTAAAGAAGAAGACTGTTTGTAACCACCGTTGGTGAAAATCACGAGAACCAAGTCTTTCTTGTTATTTTAAACATCCTATAAAAGCATTGCAAAAGTTTATATTGCTGGTTAAAATATTTGGGACTATTTTGTCCATTTCCACACCTTACTTTAAGGTCCAGGCATTTGTTGAGAGGGAAATTGCCTATTTAACTGAAGGAACAATATGTTTTAAATTACTGAGAGTACTCTGTTGAAACTTAATGAGAACAGAAAGCAGCATTAATAAGAAAAATAGTATTTACAAAGATTGCTTAAGGATGCAAGCTGGGTACCAACTAATTGTAATTCTTTAATTTCGGTATGCGTGCAACATCCCATGTGTATGAAAACAAAATGTGTATTTCCAAGCAGTATGTTTTAGGATCAGAGAATTTCAACCAAATATTAAATTCTCAAATCGTATGCAAACAAGTGTCAATCATGGCTTTAACATGACAGCTGGAGGAAAAAATTCAAGCAACATGTGTAGATAATTGTGGTTAATGTTTATCTGTACATAGGAAGATACTTCAGATGTGTAAGTATGCAAATAACTCTCGGATTTCTAATTACTGTATTTATCAAGTTCTATATGCTGTCTAAATTCAGAAATGAAAGCAATTTTAAAATAGCATGCATATTATAATTACAATATTAAATTGAGCTCAACTTTCCTAGCTATTCTCTGCCTTTCTGTCTGCCTCTGCCTATGTCTCTATCTCACACATGTATGTGTGTATGTGTATATATACCCTCACTTGTGAACATATATTCATAACCACATGTATAAACACACAGTATAAAAGGATATTAGAAAAGGAAGTGGATGATTTGCTCAGATTTTGGTAAATTAGGTTTTGATAGAACAAACCTGAAAAAATACGTTAAAACATATGAGGACATATACCAAAATATTATCAGTAGTTAATTTTAAGACAAGCCTGATGGGTCATTTTAATTTTCTACTTTTTACCTGTCTGTTTTGATTGCAACTTTAAAAATAAGCCTGTGTTACTTTTTAAAGAGAAAGAGAGAGAGAGCAAGATTTGCCTGTTTTGGAAAATTGTTTTAAAGGAACACCACAGGAAATGAAGTCATTCTTAAGTGCCTGCCATTTATATCTAAAAATGGTTTTCAGTAATGGGATAGTTCTAGTATCAGTAGGGAGATCCATTATCACATGCAGATTTAACCTTGTTGTTGCAGGCCAGAAATATTTAAAACCATTTAACTGACTTGAAGAATTCTTCAATTTTTGAAAATATATTTCAAAAGAAAAACTTTCCAGTTAATTTATGAAGTTAACAAAATATTGATTCTAAATGGTATATTTATAAAATTTTATTCTGTAATTGGTTATTGGTAGTGTAAGGAAATAAAATAGACTTTTATGTGCTCATATTGTAACCAGTGATCCTGATAGCTATATTTAGTTATTCGTTCTAATATTTTATCTTAGATATTCTACATATACAATAATGTCCTTAGCAAATAATGACCTGTGTATTTCTTTCTTGCTAATTCTTACTTTTTTTTTCTTATTGAACTGAATAGGGAATTTTGTTTCTGATCCCATAAGGAAAGCTTTCCATATTTCCTTATTAATTATAATATTTTTGTAAGATTTTATGATTATCTTTCACCAGATTAAATACATTTCATTGTTGTTTGCATATTAAAAAATATATTCTGCATCTGTTGAGATGAGATTTTCTTCCATATTGTTAATATAGTGAATTACAATAATTGATTTTGTGATATTAAAATAATATTTTATTATTGAAACACAATTTGTTTTTAATTTACTGTACTTTTTAAAATTAATATATAATTCATACACCATAATATTTGTCCTTAACAAGGATGCAACTCAGTGATTAGTATATTCAGAAGGTTATGGTATAATCACTGCAAATTCCAGAATAATTTCATCACTGAACAACAACAAAAAAATCCTGTGTCTCTTATTAGCCAGTCCTTGTTTGCTCTTCTCTCTAGCCCCTGGCAATCACTGATCTACCTTCTGTCTCTATAGATTTGCTTTTTCTGGGCATTTCATATAAGTAGAATTATAGAATATGTGACATTTTGTGTCTGGCATTTTTCACTTAATGTTTTCATGATTCATACATGTATCATGTATCAGTAGTTCATTCCTTTTATGGCTAAATTATATTCCATTGTATGGATATACCACTTTTTGATTATCCATTCATCAATTGATGGACATTTGCACTGTCTTTATGGCCATTACAAATAATGTTGCTATAAACATTTGTGTCCAGGTTCTTTGTAGACATGTTTTTCATTCTTTGGGAGATATTCCTAAGGAGTAGAATTGTCCAGTCATTTGATAACACTGTTTAACTTTTTTTTCTTTTCTTTCTTTCTTTTTCTTTTTTTTTCTGAGACAGAGTCTCACTCTGTCGCCCAGGCTGGAGTGCAGTGGCGTGGTCTCAGCTCACTGCAACCTCCGCCTCCTAGGTTCGAGCAATTCTCCTGCCTCAGCCTCATAAGTAGCTGGAATTACAGGTGCCTGCCACCACGCCCGGGTAATTTTTGTATTTTTAGTAGAGATGGGTTTTCACTGTGTTGGCCAGGCTGGACTCAAACTCCTGACCTCAGGTGATCCTCCCGCCTTGGCCTCCCAAAGTGCAACTGCAAAATTGTTCCTACCATGGCTGCATCGTTTTGCGTTCCCACCAGCGATTTATGTGGGATTGTTTCCACATTCTCAAACATACTTGTTATTTTCTTTTTGATCATAGTATGAAATGGTATCTCCTGGTGGTTTTGATTTGCATTTCTCAAATGACCAATAATGTTGAGTATCTTTTCATGTGCTTCTTGCCTATTGTGTATCTTTTTTGGAGAATTTTCTACTCAAATCATTTCTCCATTTTAAAAATAGGTTATATGTTTTTTTATTATTGAGTTGTAAGATACATATTCTGAATACAAGTCTTTTAGAAGATGTATGATTTGCAAAATTGTTCTCCCATTCTGTAGGTTGTCTTTTCCCTTCCTTGGCTTTTTCTTTTAAAGAAAAAATTTAGTTTTAATTAAGCATAATATAGCCCCCTTTTTTTTCTTTTGTTGCTTGTAATTTGGTGCTATATCTAAGAAACTATTGTTTAATCTAAGGTCATGAAGATTTTGCTTATGTTTTCTTCTATGAGTTTTTTACTTCTAGGTCTTACATTTAGGTTTTGATCAACTTTGTGTGTAAGGTAAGGTCAGAATCCAACTTCGTTTGTTTGCATGCATATGTACAGTTGTCCCAACACTATTTGTTGACAAGACTACTATTTCCCCTTTGAATTTTCTTGGCATCCTTTTAAAAATCAATTGCTCATAAATATAAGGTTTATTGATTAATGCTCAATATTATTTCATTAAATTTATATGTCTATCTTTATGCTAATGCAACACCGAATTAATATAGTTTGGTAGAAAATTTTCTGTTTCAAGACTATTTAGACTGTTCTGGGTGCTTTGCTATAGTAGTTTCCTGTTCCTGATGTAACATCTTACTACAAAGTTATGCCTAAAAAATCACAGCTTTATCATCTTAATGTGTGCATGTGTGCGTGCGTGTGTGGATTCCTTAGGATTTCCTGTATGCATAAATATTTCTCCATATATATCTATATACAAATTCTTTATACCTCATGGCATCTCCATATAGAGATAGTTATATTTCTTTCTTTTTAATCTTCACCCCAGGCTACTATCCAATTGAATAAAAGGTGGTGCTACTATTGAACATGCCATAGAATATTAACTTTGTAAACTGACTTGAAGTCTCCCTGGGTGAATGCTAACCCTCTCATATATAATAGTGGCTTCATTTACAAAATGTATAACATGATGACTACCAAATTATTTCTTCAGCCTTCACTTTTATCCAGAACTGCCAAATCTGAATCTAATTCCCATTTAGGATTGCCACAGGTATGTTCAAAATAGTACTTTCTTTTTCTCATAAGATTCTGCCTTATGTCTTGAATTTATACTCTAGGTAAATGTTGTAAGCAGAATAAAAACCCCCAAAGATGCTCACACTTTAATCCTTGAGACCTGAATATGCTGTATTACCTGACAAAAGAGACTTTGCAGTTAGAATTATGAATATTAAAATGAGGACCGTATATGAGTCCAATCTAATCACTATGAGCCCTTAAAAGCTGAGACCATGTGCAGTTGATTTCTGAGAGACTGGGCAGGAGGGAAAGGCAGAGATATTTGAAATGTTCGTGCTGCTGGAAAGGCCCATGAAAAAAGCATAAGGAACAGGGACAGTCTAGGAGGAAAGGCTGGTCCCAGCTGACGGCCAGCAAGGAAATGGGGACTGCAATAATACCTACTCAAGGAACTAAGTGTGGCTAACAATCTGAACAAACGTGGAAGCAGACCTTTCCTCAGAGCCTCCAATAAAAAATGCAAGAGTGTGGCTGGGCGCGGGGGCTCACGCCTGTAATCCCAGCACTTTGGAAGGCCGAGGCGGGCAGATCACGAAGTCAGGAGATCAAGACCATCCTGGCTAACACGGTGAAACCCCGTCTCTACTAAGAAAAATACGAAAAAATTAGCCAGGCATGGTGGCGGGCGCCTGTAGTCCCAGCTACTCTGGAGGCTGAGGCAGGAGAATGGCGTGAACCCGGAAGGCGGAGCTTGCAGTGAGCCGAGATCGCGCCACTGCCCTCCAGCCTGGGCGACAGGGCGAGACTCCGCCTCAAAACAAACAAACAAAATGCAAGAGTGATGGAGTCAGTGCATTACTACCTGAATACAACACACTTTTCAAGCTACATAAACTTCATGCTTTCCTCGTTTTATAAAAGTCATCTCCTCTGCCTTGAAAACTCTCCCCATTGTTATTAATCTGCCTGAAAATTTATCTTCATCCTCAAGTGTCTACTCAAATGGTCTATTAAATGAGTTCTTCCCAGATGATCCCAGATAATGAGTACCACTTTTTAAAATTAGATTTCTAGATACTTTCATTATTGTAATCCACTTTTATAGGAAATTTTTGTTGTTGTGTATCTCCTTACTAAACGAACATTTTTTTGTTTTTGAATCTGCATCAATTGTTGAACACATATAGAATATATTAAATACATACAAGCTAATGAAGTAACACATGAATGCATCTCAGACCACTTATCCTAAAACAACCATTTTTTTCTTTCATTCTGTCAAATACTTTTTCTCTAATATCCTATACTTTTGTTACTATTCATGGATTTTATCTATTTATAGTTATTTTCTTACTGATATGCAATTATTTTCTATGTATAGTGTATCACATATCTGGCAAAATTTTGTTTGGTTTGCATAATATCTTTTTATTTTATTGTGAATGACATTATAGAACTTTACAGATGAAATAAAATCTGTCGGCCGGCTGCGGTGGCTCGTGCCTGTAATCCCAGCACTTTGAGAGGCAGAGGCGGGCAGATGACGAAGTCAGATCAAGACCATCCTAGGCCAACATGGTGAAACCCTGTCTCTATTAAAAATACAAAAATTAGACGGGCGTAGTGGTGCGTGCCTGTAGTCCCAACTACTTAGGAGGCTGAGGCAGGAGAATTGCTTGAACCCGGGAGGCGGAGGCTGCAGTGAGCCGAGATCGCGCCACTACACTCCAGCTTGGGCTACAGAGGGAGCCTCTGGAAAAAAAAAAAATCTGGCTAGGCGCGGTGGCTCACGCCTGTAATCCCAGCAATTTTGGAGGCCGACGCGGGCGGATCACGAGGTCAGGAGATTGAGACCATCCTGGGTAACACTGTGAAATCCCATCTCTACTAAAAAAATACAAAAAATCAGCCGGTGGGCACCTGTAGTACCAGCCAGTCCGGAGGCTGAGGCAGAAGAATGAGGTGAACCCGGGAGGCGGAGCTTACAGTGAGCATAGATAGCACCTCTGCACTCCAGCCTGGGCGACAGAGCGAAGACTCCGTTTCAAAAAAAAAAAAAAAAGGCATTTATATGTCCATTCTTCCACTTATGCAGCCCTACTTAATTATTGTCATTACAAAATGATGCTTATCCTTCTGCTAAATTTCTCTGAGTATTTCTAATATTTATGCTTACAGATAAAATTGAATTATTTTTAATCAAAGTCCAAAAATACATCATTAAATTTATTTTTTCAAAAGAAAAGACAAAAAATTTTTTAATTTATCCAATGCTCCTTTTAAATCCCTAATTGAAAAATACATTTTATTCATTCATTATATATAATGAATTCATTTTATTGAATTAATAAAATGATTTTATTAATGAATAAAATGTATATATAAATATATGGATATTTATTTTTAATGAATTTTTGGCTAATTTTTTGCTAATTTTATTTTTATTATTATTATTTTTTTTGAGACGGGCTCTCTCTCTGTGCCCAGGCTAGAGTGCAGTGGTGCGATCTCGGCTCACTGCAACCTCCATCTCCTGGGTTCGAGCGAGTCTTCTGCCTCAGTTTCCCAAGTAGCTGGGACTACAGGCATTTGCCACCATGCCCAGCTAATTTTTGTATTTTTAGTAGTGAGGGGGTTTCACCATATTGGCCAGGCTGGTCTTGAACTCCTGACCTTGTGATCCACCCATTTCAGCCTCCCAAAGTGCTGAGATTACAGGCGTGAGCCACCATGCCCGGCCACTAATTTTTTTTTTTTTTTTGAGACAGAGTCTCCCCCTGTTGCCCAGACTGTGGTGATGTCATTGCAACCCCCACCTCCCACGCTCAAGTGATTCTTGTGCCTCAGCCTCCCGAGTAGTTGGGATTACAGGCATGTGCCACCACAGCCGACTAATTTTTTTTATTTTGCAGTAGACAGGGTTTCTCTATGTTGGCCAGGCTGGTCTTGAATTCCTGGCCTCAAGCGATCTGCCCACCTCGGCCTCCCAAAGTGCTGGGATTACAGGCATGAACCACCATGCCCAACCAAGAGTTAATGTTTCTTTTAAAATAAATCAAAAGAGCAAAACTTATCTGACAGCAATTGACAAAAGAAAACAGCAGTCTACTATTAAACATAATAAAATTTAAGGCAAAATTATTTTATTTGGGATTTTGGATTTCCTTGTGTTTTCTCATCTTACTTAAACCTGCTTCCTTTCTATGCCTGCACTTCTCACCATCACTTTTCCCACTACAAGCTTACTGCTCCAGTTTTTTAAAAAGTCATGGCTCTTCTGTCTTTTTTAGTGTAAAAAGGGGAAATTTTCTAATTTTCAGTTTCTTGTGTTACATTCTTTTCATAAGTACATTCTTTTTGAATCCTAAATATTTCGTTGTTAGATGATTGTTCAAAATCAGTTTGCTCATTCATGACTATAGAAAGATGTAGATTTAAGCCCTGGTTTTTGCAACAGAAAAGCCAGATGGCCCACAGCTTATCCCAGTTTCTACTTGAACACAATAAGCTTTCTTTTTCTCTCAACTTTATCCAGGAAGAACCATTTTATATACAGATTTCTGATCCAGTCTCCAGGGTTTCCAAGGCATTAATCAAGCATGGCTTTACTGGACAAATGTAGGGCCTTCTGTGTCTTTAATACTGGACTTTCTATGCCAGACAGTATCTTTGTTCTAGTTCTTCTTTGCACTGTTCATATCTCACTGGTTTAGATATAATTGCCTGCTGCAGCGTGATGACTTCCCTCCGTGAATCTTCCTCAGTTTCATTATTGATGGTATACCATGTACATGAGACAAAGATTTCTTTACTCTTCTTGAGGTCTCTCTATGCTGTTTGGTTCAGATAATATGGAGTTACCCATTGTAAACTCATTTACAGTGAAGTCAGTTGTAGCACTGATCTAGTTTGGCTGTGTCCCCACCCTAATCGCATCTTGAATTGTAGTTACCATAATCCCCATGTGTCGTGGGAGGGACCCAGTGGGAGGTAACTGAATCATGGGGGCTGTTACCCCCATGCTGCTGCTCTCGTGATAGTGAGTTCTCGTGAGATCTGATGGTTTTATATGGGTCTTTTCTCTCTTTGCTCTGTATTTCTCCTTCTGCCATCATGTGAAGAAGGATGTTGTTTGCTTCCCCTTCTGTTCCCCTTTTTTCCTTTATTTATTGATTCGAGTGTCATTCAGTTCAACATAAATTTTGTGAACAGCTGGTGTATGGTCAGCCCAAGGCTAAAACATTGTAAATGAATACATGGAGGACAGAAGTTTTGTGAACAGTGGGAGCAGAAGGCAAATCGCTGTAGACAGAGGAGAGAGCAAGAATGGACAACTTGCAAGAAGTTGAGCTATGTAGACAATGGGGTAAGAAAGCCAGGGGTGTTAGAGGAAGAGAAGTGCAAGTTGGATACCATAGCTTATAATGAGAATAGGAATTGGTAAAAATGTCAAGACAGGAGAAATCATATATGTTTAGAGGTTTAGTAGAGGAGCCATTTGACTTCTCTGTTCTTTTTGAGAAAGACGTGAATTGACAGAGATATAGGGAAAGTGTATTTGAAGTACAAGCAACAGCATGTATCTGGAAAACCAAAACACGGAGGGCATAAGTATGGGGGAACTGTGAATATTCCAACTTTGGCCACAACATTGGGTAGATACCATAGTTGCCCAGTAATGAAAACTTGTCTGAAAATGTATGTTTATGTCACACTGAGATAAAGAAGTATGTAATTAATTGGTTTATTTTAATCCCAATTATTGATTTTCCTGAATTATTGAGTATCATGAGACAATGGCCCATCTTAAGAAGTTCTAAGGAAGGTAGACTAATATGCAGGAAGGTATTTGTAACCCTCGAAACCCATTGGAGACACCTCACTAATGTATGGTAACCAGAATAATAGGAGGGTAGGAACTACGCCAATAATCAAAGTGATCCCTCCGCACGCCACTACCTAACTTCTTCAGCTTTGCTTAAACTTTGTCATCTGCTTGTGTGGCAGCAACTTCCTCCTAATAGTGTATGTTTACACTGAGTATTGGCACATAGTTTCTGCATCGTATAGAATTAAATTTCCTGTTTATTTTTAATTTTTGCTTTGTATTGTATTGTACTTTGGTTCACTTGTTTGTGTTTAGTCCAGATCATGATTCTAACCGGTTATAAAAATTTTGTGCATATGCTTCTTTTGAAATTTGTTTCTTGTTTGTATATCCACAGAATCCTTGAAAGATTCCTTTACCCAATGCCAAAAGAAATCCACTTAATACATTCCGCTGAGGCCTTTATATTAGTACACGTTAACTTTAAGTTGGAATATGCCACCGTGTGACATACTTTATGTGACAAGAAAAATGTTCTTAGAAAAGATTCTCATCTCAAGCAAGCTTTATACTGGAGACATTGTTTGCAATATCAGACTTCACTATTTTCAGCTCACAGTTTACTAAAGAGGATAATTGGAGAGGCATTCTAACATTAGTGGAGAAAAAGGCACTTGATGTTCATGACACTTGATAACAGAACCTCTGTATTTCTTAGTCTCTAGCACCATTTCATAGAATGAACTAAGTTATCAGAGGAGAGGAGATACACATTCGACCCAATTCTAAAAATTTAATATAATCAATATTTACTTATAAGGTACATTAATTATATTAATACATGGCAAGTCTCAAGATAAATTCTGAATAAAAATTTTTCAGTTAAATGTTGCAAATAATTTTTATCATTAAATTTTAAATACACAGATTATCTGTGTAACATATTAAAATGTATGTCATATAATGACAAAGGATTTCTCTATTGGAACATCTTTTATTTCACTGGCTTATTATTATTTCTGGTTGGTAAGTTTAAAAGACTACAATCTTTAATTTTATTTAGTTAAATGATTTGTTGTATTTTAAAATCAGTAGATAGTATATGTATCATCTTAGTCTTAATTTATAAATATATGACATTTCAATAAAATTCTTGAAGCCAATCAATAAAATTGATTAAGCTTTAAATTCTAGGCTGAGTCTAATTGATTATATTTCTTTATGATTCTTTAAGGGGAAAGCAGACACTTTCTTTTGTTTCAAGATGCCAATTTTCTTTTCCTCTTTTTTTTTTTTTTTTTTGAGACAGAATCTCGCTCTGTTGCCCAGGCTGAAGTGCAGTAGCACGATCTCCGCTCACTGCAAGCTCCGCCTCCTGGGTTCACGCCATTCTCCTGCCTCAGCCTCCCTAGTAGCTGGGACTACAGGCACCCACCGCCACGCCTGGCTCATTTTTTGTATTTTTAGTAGAGACGGGGTTTCAACGTGTTAGCCAGGAATGGTCTTGATCTCCTGATCTCGTGATCCGCCTGCCTCGGCCTCCCAGAGTGCTGGGATTACAGGCATGAGCCACTGTGCCCGGCCTCAAGATGCCAGTTTTCTAAAGTGAGAAAAATTAATTTTAAAAATTAAATTGTATGTTCAATATCTGTGTGAGATCAGGTAAACCATGTGTCTTAGAGAGGGAAAGGTTTGAAAGTATAATTTTTATAGTTTCTTATTTATCTATATTTTCCTATATGATTGTTGTTGAAATATCTTAAATTTATTTCACATTAAAATTGTCAAATATCTGAATTCATGAGCCACCTGTTGAAGACCACTGAAAGAATATAAATAAATAAAATTGGTAGCTCATTGTTTTTCAATAACTTGTGAAGACTAAGCTCTGATTTTTTTATTTTGCCCAAATTCTTATCTAAGGGGTCTGGGGAGTCATCCCCTACTAACCATAAATTCTCATCAGATGGATTTTATTTAACCCTATATATCATGGCTTACTTTGCAATCTGACTCTGGCATAACATTATGTGACAAAGAAGAAAGTAAAAAAAATTTTACCCCAAAAGCAAGTTTCTTTGTCATATTTTGAAATGGTCCTGCAAAGCTGCCCTTTGTTGGGGGACATATGCATCTGTAAAGAATCTCTATTGACATAACTAGATCTTTTTCTTCCAAGCCCTCCCAATCCTGAAGAAATTAGTAGAAGTCTAGCACCTTTTAAGGTCTGAATAGGAAATATTTGTCATCTATTATCTCTAAGAGCAGCCACTATAAGACTTCAGAAGAACCTTGGTATCCACAATCTTTTAGCTTAACCTGGACATATCCTTTCCTTTGATCCCAGGTTTTTAGACAAACTCAACCAATTATCAATTGGAAAATGTTTAAATTTACCTATAGCCTGAAAGCACCCCCCACCCCTGCTTTGAATTGTCCCGCCTTTCTGAACCAAACCAATGTGTTTCTTAAATGTATTTGATTGATGTCTCATGTCTCCCTAAAATGTATAAAACTGACCTGCACCCTGACCACCTTGGGCACGTGTTCTCAGGATCTCCTTAGGGCTGTGTCATGTGCCATGGTCACTCATATTTGGCTCAGAATAAGTCTCTTAAAATATTTTACCGAGTTTGACTCTTCATCGACACTTGTTTTATTGAATGAACTGGATTTCCATTGTTAATATTACCCTAATGTAAAAAGCAGTGAAGTAACAGACTTTTTGTCAGCCTTTTACTTACAGAATAGATGACCCCATGATCTGAGCCCTAATTCCTAACAGGGGATGCTTTGGAATGAACAAATCAAGAGGTACCTTGAACTGGAGATTGGTCCTGCTTCATGGTAGCATTTTCCCAGAAAACATGTCTCCATAATAAAAAAGAGTGACTGAATAGCAGATGAAGATATCCAGTTATAAAGCCAAGAGATAAGCCACCCATTCCAGAATTGCTACTTCCTCCTTTATCTGCAATGATCAAGTGGCAACTGTGACAGTGTCAACAGGTTGTACAGTGCACAAAAGGGAGGTTCTGGCTGAGAACGGAAAGTCTGCAAATGATAAGAGAGCAAAAGGAAGAAGTCCTAAACTGAGGAGAAACTGTCCTTTAGGGACAGGAAAAGGAAAATGAGCAAGAAGAATAAAAGATTTTAAAAAGAAATGAAGCTGGAAATCTATCATCATAGCCTAATCCCTAAATACCCCGCAGATGTTAGAAGAATGCCAAGCATTCCTGAAGTTGATAGACACAGATATAGATAGGTAGGTAGATACATAGAGATAGATTAATAGATAGGCAGATACATACATACATACATGCATACATAGGTAGCTACATAGACACATAGATGTATTGAATTGTACACATACACATGTGTATATATCATATATACCTATGTATGAGAGAGACAAGTGAGATATTAAATTATAATTAGCTAAAGACCACTTACAATACCCTATACAAAGAGAAATATCTAAAGTGTTTTTGGATAATTAATTCCACATTCTTTAGCAACTCATCCAATTTCCCACTGGCAGAGATTCAGGGCAAAGACATTTCAAGCCATTTTACAATGAGTCTCAAAAAGCAGTAAAATACCTTTATTCTGAGCACCATTTTAAACTTTTTAGCAAGTTGATGCTACTGCGACTCTTATTCCTGTCACCAGAGAAGCAATTCAGAAGAATTGTTAATATTTCAGAAGTTGCTTAAACTTCCTGTAAAGTGATAGGCCTGACCTCCTGGGGTTAATGTGAGCATCATAACAGTTAATACACGTAAATGCTTGACATACGATAAATGCTATGTAAGTGTTAGCCATGATTAGTATTTTCATCACTCAAAAATGCCTCTTTTCTGTCTCACACCATATTTCCCTAAAGTGCTCTGCCATTTCTTTATCTTTAACCATACTTCCCACTCTTGCTCCAATATTTCTCTCTTTTATATTTTTATTCCTTCATATACTGCTTCCAATACCTTCCTACTCAAACAGAAAGCTGCCTCTGTCCTTTAAGAATACCTACTAGTAGTACCTGGAAAGATTATTTTTCAGACACTTACCGTAAGGTGGGGTGGGGTTAGCATTCACCTTTTTTCATGCTGCCATTTTTAAAACTACACTATCTCAGTCTCCTTATGTTCAGGATAACACCATTCATAATCTACCCCTTCTTCACTGGGCCTCATGCCATCATGTCCACATTTTTGAAATACACAAACACCTGTCATTTTCCTTGAGACCTCAGAGCCCTGTGCAGGTGTCATCCAGTTACCCAGCCTCACTCTTTCGTAACTGGTGCGTCAATGACTACCATCATCATTTATGTATTTCTCACCTTAATTAATGGGGAGGGGCCGGGTGCGGTGACTCATGCCTGTAATCCCAGCACTCTGGGAGGCCAAGGCGGGCGGATCACGAGGTCAGGAGATCGAGACCATCCTGGCTTACACGGTGAAACCCTGTCTCTACTAAAAATACAAAAAATTAGCCGGGCGTGGTGGCAGGAGCCTGTAGTCCCAGCTACTCAGGAGACTGAGGCAGGACAAAGGCGTGAACCCAGGTGGTGGAGCTTGCAGTGAGCCAGGGTGGTGCCACTGCACTCCAGCCTGGGCAACAGAGCAAGACTCTGTCTCAAAAAAAAAAAAAAAAAATTAAGGGGGAGCTTGCCTGAAGGAAATCATTTCCTAGTACTGAATTATGACATAAGTGCCTTTGCTGAGACATTTTATATATATGGGCCATTGAATTATGATACTCTTCAACAATATTTTTGTATTAGGCAACAAAATGGATTTCATATGACTATTTGTTGTATTGTTCTTTTATTAAAAGGAGTAGGTCATGGCCCCAAAACTTAATTCAAGGAAAGAAACTCTGTTGGAAACTAAGGCAATATAGTTCAACTTTGTAGCCTCCTGGTGATCTGATTTGACCGAGGCTAAAATTTATAATACCCAGAGGAGTGACAGCCTTCAAATGATTTTCTGTAAGTATTAAAGTTGAGGTGTTTATTAAATGTCCACTTCTGTTTGGTAACACTTTAAGATTTTCTAGTTATTTTGAAGACTCATAAAATTCTAAAAAAAAAAAAATCCTTAGTAAAAAATAGTTTCCTCAAAATAAATACATTGCTCACAATTTTAATGACTCATCATTAAAGCTAACAAGGAAAGGGGTATTATCTGTCTTAAACTATTTGTAACTGATAAATAAGAGGTTAAATTTTTCCCTACAGAGTTTTACTATTGAGCCATTATTCAATTATGAGAAAGAGTAAACTGAAATATTTGCCAAGTACTTATGATATGACAGATATAGTGCCAGGTTGTTTTACATATTGTATATCACTAAATGTCAGAATTAAACTTCTGAAAATCAAAGCTGGCTAAAAGTGGGTATTTAACTTCTGTGGACTTGTTGAAACCCAATACAGAGATGTGTCTACTTGGGATCATGAAATCAAATATTCAGAAGAAATGTATTTTTCATGCATATTCTGAAATCAGTGGCTGAAACCACAAGAAATAAGTGAACAGAGCTTATAAATATTGATTTATTGAGTTTATTCCCTTAGGTTCATATCATGGAGATGCTTAAAATACTTAAGCTAGAGTTATATTTAAAGTACTGCTATGTACGGATGTAATACAACTTATTTTACAGAGCTTCCCTTTGGGGGGCAAGAATTATTAACGTATGTGGTTATCCTGAGCTCCCTCTTTCTGTTTGCTAATGGGGATTCTGGCTTTGTCTGCTCAATTTCTTCCCCATTGCTCTTCTCTGAAAAGGCACTGCTGGTGGCTGACAGTGATATTCTCTTTCGTTATCTCCACATCAGTACAATGATAAGAGGAAACTGGAACAAAAAGGCAGGAGGGGTGGTAGGTAAAGATTGAGAACATGCATTTGAGTAAGGCCTAGGTGAGCTTTCTTCCAGAAAAGAAAAAATAAATACATAGTCAGGAGGCAATGACAAATTTTAACCAGAAGGATTTAAAGAAAGAGAGATATGGATAAAACGATATAAAGATGTGTGCGTTATATTTTATGTCTTATTCAGATATTACCAAAATACAAATACACTCGAGGTATTTTTACATTATGTTTCATTATAATAGAATGATTTATATTCCTATGAGTATATACCCAGGAATGAGATTGCTGGGTGAAATGGCAATTCTGGTTCTAGGTCTTTTAGGAATTGCCACACTGTCTTCCACAATGGTTGAACTAATTTACATTCCCACCAACAGTGTAAAAGCATTCCTATCGCGTCTGTTTTTTGCTTCACTATTCACAATAGCACAGACAGGGAATCAACCCAAATGCCCATCAATGATAGACTAGAAAAAGAAAATGTGGTACCTATACACCATGGAATACTATGCGGTCATAGAAAGGAACAAGATCATGTCCTTTGCAGGGACATAGATGGAGCTGGAAGCCACTGTCCTTAGCAAACTAACACAGGAACAGAAAACCAAACACCGCATGTTCTCACTTCTAAGTGGAAGCTGAATAATGAGAACACAAGCACACAGGGAGGGGAACAAAACACACTGGGACCTACTGGGGGGTTGGGGGGAAGGAGAGCATCAGGATAAATAGCTAGTGCATGGGGGCCTTAAAACCTAGGTGATAGGTTGATAGGGGTAGCAAACCACCATGACACACGTTTACCTATGTAACAAACCTGCACGTCCTGCACATGTATCCCAGAACTTAAAATTTAAAAAAAAAAAAATTACATTTCACCTTTTTTAAAACAGAGTGTTGTCATGCTATATCATGTGGATCCCATCATTATAGGCATTATGTACTCTAATAAGATGGCAAGAGAAAAAATGTTTAAGCTGTTCAGGCTGGAGGTAAAATGGAAGAGTTGAGGCTGGCCTTGGCTGACAGTCAGTTGAGTCTGGACTCTGGCCCTACCTGGCCATGTCTATGGATAAGTTTCTGAACTTCTTTTCTTCAAAATATAACCAGGCTAAGAGCAGCCTGATGGGAGTCCGACTGAGCAGGGTTTGAATCCCAGCTTTGCCATTTAGCATGATGAGATGTGAGTTAAGTTACTTAATTCAAGCCCCACGTCCTCATCTTTAAATGCAGACAACAGTATCTACCTTCAGGTTGTTGTCAGGATTAATATAATTTATGTAAAGAATTTTACCCAACATTTGGCATATATTTGTATACAGTAATTGGCGTATCTTTGGTATAAAATAAATGTTACAAAACATGAGTATTTTCCTTGTTATTGGTGTGGTACCTTGCATTTTCAAGTTGTCTTAGTCCATTCACATTACTATAAAAAAACACCTTAGACAGGATAATTTAGACAACTATAAAACAGAAATTTATTGCTCACAGTTCTGGAGGGTGGGAGTTTAAGACTGAAGTGTCAGCAGATTTGGTGTCTGGCGAGAGCTTGCTCTCTACTTCATAGATGGTGACTTCTGTGCTTCCTTACTTGGTGGAAGGGGCTAGGGAGATTTTGGAGGCCTCTTTTATAAAGGCACCAATCCCATTCATGAGGGCTCTGCCAGTCACATTCTAAAGCCTTCATCTCTTAATACTATTGCATTGGAGATTAAGTTTCAACACATGAATTTTAGAGACACAAACATTTAGACCATAGCACAAGTCGACATGTTTCTCTTTTGTTTAGATTTGCTGAGAGAGAGAAATGGAGAGACAGATTGAGATTCAGTAAAGGGTAAAGTTACTGAAGTTGTAAAAGTATATTCAAGAGCATTATATGGGAAATGTATAGGGCATTGCAGCAAATAAAATATAATATGGATACTGTGAATGATTTCTAAAAATTCAAGTTTACAAAATACATATTTTGAAGACTTGAACTGTTTGAAACATTTAATCCTTGTAGATCATGAGTGGAAGAACAGATTCTCTAAGTAGTGAAGAGAAATAGAGCAGTGGTCCCCAACCTTTTTGGCATCAAGGACTGGTTTTGTGGAAGACAATTTTTTTCACAGACATGGTGGTGGTGGGGATGGTTTCAGAATGATTCAAGCCCATTACATTTATTGTGCACTTTATTTCTATTATTATTACTTTGTAACATATAATGAAATAGTTATACGACTGACCATAATGTAGAATCCCTGGGAGCCCTGAGCTTGTTTTCCTGCAACTAGATGTTCCCACCTGGGGGCAATGGGAGACAGTGACAGATCATCGGTCATTAGATTCTCATAAGGAGCACACAACCTAGATCCCTTGCATGCTTAGTTCACAATAGGGTTCATGCTCCTATGAGAATCTAATGCTGCTGCTGATCTGACAGGAGGAGGAGCTCAGGGGGTAACACGAGCCATGAGGAGCAGCTGTAAATACAGATGAAGCTTCGCTCACTCAGCCGCCACTCACCTCCTGCTGTGGAGCCCAGTTCCTAACAGCTATGGACTAGTATGGGTTTGGAGAGCCCTGAAATAGAGGATATCCAGCAAGCCTTTTAAAAGAGTGAATTATTCCATTCCAACCTCTGGAATATAAAAGATAAATAGTCTCTCAGGAATTCACACTGTGTGGCCTTTTGCATTAAAGCAATCACCTAAGTTATCTGGAGCTTCATGTACATGGGTCAGATGTTGCTGGCATTGTCCTAACTCTGCATGGCTGCTCTCAAATCAGTCCTTCATCACCTCCATGAGATTCATGCCGTGAGACCCTAATTTCCTTCATTTTTTCAAAGATGTCTATCTTCCAGGAGGACACATCTGCATTTTTAAGGAAAACTCTGGCTACAGGCCATCAGATGATTTTCCCCTTGCCAACACTCTGGGTAACGTTAGCGCATTTGTGCAAAATACATTCAACACCCTGGCCTTACACCTTTTGATCTCCTTATCTTCAATAACATGTATTTCTACTCTAATTTAGGCACCCACATTCATTGCCTCATCAGGAATGATGATATCTTCTGTAGTTATTCACATTGTATTTTTGAATTCCAGTGGCCCTCTCACCTTTGACTTCAATACCTGATTCTTTTAGTTCTTTAAAATTTTTATTTTCTCTTCACACATTATTTGATCTCCTGCAGAACACTATTTTCTTCCACCTTTGCCTCAGTTATTTACCAAATATCTCTCCTTCTTTTTTTATTTTTTTCTTTTGAGATAGAGTCTTGTTCTGTTCCCTAGGCTGGAATGCAGTGGTGCAATCTTGGCTCACTGCAACCTCTGCCTCCCAGGTTCAAGCAATTATCCCGCCTCAGCCTCCCGAGTAGCTGGGATTACAGGCACCTGCCAACACGCCCAGCTAAGTTGTGTATTTTTAGTAGAGACGGGGTTTCACCATGTTGGCCAGGCTGGTCTCGAACTCCTGACCTCAGGTGATCCAACCACCTCGGCCTTCTAAAGTGCTGGTATTACAGGTGTGAGCCACTGCACCCCGCCAACCAAATATCTCTTAAGCACCTCAAGTGCTTTACAACATGGAATGCCAGAATACACCAATTCCAAGCCAAATCTACACAGGAGTGAAAAATTCTGTTTAGATAAATGCAACTATTCAAACACATGCTTTCAAATAACACTTCCTCCTTAGTGCTGAGGGCCATCTTGATACTTTGTTAAAATGATTCAATCAAGAGACAGAATAGAGAGATTGAGGGAGAGTGTGATGCTTTCTTTAATGCCCTGATCCTGAGTTAGATGTATCAGCAGTGTGTCCTGGAGCTTTTTCTAAACCTCCTGTTTCCACATCTACCACCTTCTATCACACTGGATTCTTTACATAGTTTCCACCACGACACTGTAAATGTTAAGGATGTCAAATCAAGATTGAATCTTGGTTTTTCCATTGCCTTTATATTATAGCAAAGTACCTGGTACATAGTTTATAGTTAATAACTATCATCTAAGTGGATTAGTTACCCTACATTATCTTCCCAAATAAATGCCAATTTCAAATAAATACCAAATTTTGCCAACTCTCTATTCAAACCCACATCTTTCATTTTCAGGAAATGACATATTCTCTTTAATGAAAATAAGGACATAAAGTATCACCTACCATTATGTAGCCAGTCCCACCCTCCTATAAACTTACCTATAATTGGGTGATGAGTGATCCTTCCTCTTAATTAATGTAATTTTTCACTTGTAGAATTGATCTAGCTCATGCCTTCCATTATATCTTGTATCTTTCCCCATTTGTTATTGTGTCTCATATCTCTGCCTTCAGCCCTTCCCACTTCTCTATCTCTTATTTTGCCTGTAAACATGATTGAGGCAAAATGATTGAGGTAGAATGACATAACCAAAAAGAGGGTAATTTCAGAATTTCATTCCAATGTGAGAGAGCTCCAGTGGGCCCTTTTATCTTCTAAAATCACCCTCTTTTTTGTTATGCTATTCTCTAGCTTCCAACTACATTTTTTTTTTAAAGAGGTGGGGTCTCGCTACATTGACCAGGCTGGTCTTGAAATCCTGACCTCAAGTGATCCTCCCATCTTAGCCTCCCCAAGTGCTGGGATTACAGGCGTGATCCATCACAGCCAGGCCCCAACTACTATCTTGCTGACCCTTTTCTAATTCTCTTCTTTTGAAAGGAGTTTTCAATTTGCTACTTTACTTCCTAATATCCCATTCATGCATCAACCCAATGTAGAGTAGCTTCTATTCTAATTACTCTACCAAAGCTGTTCTTCCATACCGTTCACTCCTTTCACTCAAAGTACCCCATATTTTTGAAGAATGGTATCATTCATGATACAATGTTCTCTAGTAAGCAGATTTGGACATGGAGATATATACTAGGGAGTGCCCTTGGATTACTACCTGTGAAAAGGAGAAGAAGGAAGCTGGATTGAGGGAAAGGGAAAAAGCTGGGCTGAAAAGAAGTCCTGGACCACAGCTTTGGCTCATCTCACAGGGGACTTTGAAGTTAAAATGGCCCACTGGCATCCTTTCACATTGCAATGACATGACTGAGTCTTTATAGGCCCCAAGTCCCCTCCCCACCTCTTTCACCTGCCTCCTTGCCTCACCTCAATCAGTCGTTGCATATGCGCCACAACTGGGAACCTCAGGACCTTAGGCAGGGGGAAGCTCTGCAGCTGAGGTGACGTCTGAAGGGGCTCACAGCTGAGTCCTGTCTACTGACACAGCTCTCAGGGAGGACCTAGGTGATGCATCTCTGTGTGTATCATATATATGAGTAATGATATTAGAGGTTTTATAATTTAACCTTTTTTCTCCTTTTTATCTTTAATCTTCACTGTATTTCAGTCATGGTCTTCAGGTTTCAAAGTGACCTTTAAGATTCAGCAAAGAATATACAGCTTTTTAAACATGGGGAATAAAACAAGAACAATGTGATAGCATAGTGTAATGGTGCCATAGAAATAAACAATAAAAAAGAATTTAAAGAGAGAACCAGGAGTCAATTTCATAAATGCCACCATTACATTACTTAGGTTAAGCTTTTGAATTTATCTAGAGAAATGTCATTGGCCAAAACATTAACATTTATAGAGGAATGCAAAAGTGCAAAATTAAAGTTCCTAAGAATCAAGTCCAGAAAAATAGAAAATGTGTAAAGGCTATTGTTCTCAGTTTGGCAAATAAAATTAAAAAAATAAGCAAATCCAGAACTGGCTAATTTCAAATAACGTTTCTAGTATTTCCCACACATTTTTTTTACATATTTTAAAATCACTAATACAGCATTACATTTTTAAAAGGCATATTTCAATACCTTACCTTGAAATCATAAGATGCATTTGTTCAATGAAATCTTACAGTAAAGCAGCATAAAAAATATAAATTGTACAGTGTGATATAAATGCAAACTATTTGATGTTCAATTTAATCATTTTTTTCAGGAACCTAAATGTTAGTTATTTATTATTACTTTAACGACTTAATATTAATTACAATGAAAAGAATATTGCCTTTGAGATCTTCCATTAATGATTCAGTTCCCAGGCCCTGATTTCTTTATAAACTTCTAAATTCTTAAGAGAGAAATGTACTTGGCTCAAATTTAATCATGTTAGAATACAGGTTCTGTATCAACTTAGTTTTTGTAGACACTATATGATATAAGAAGACAATGTTTAATTTTATGTCAATTTCTTGCATAAACTTGTTCAATTAATTCATTCAATAAATAGTCATTGAGTTCATATCATGTCCCAGGTACTTTTTTTTTTTTTTTTTTTGAGATGGAGTCTCACTCTGTCGCCCTGGCTGGAGTGCAGTGGCACGATGTCCGCTCACTGCAAGCTCCGCCTCCCGGGTTCACGCCTTTCTCCGGCCTCAGCCTCCAGAGTAGCTGGGACTACAGGCGCCCGCCACAACGCCCGGCTAATTTTTTTGTTATTTTTAGTAGAGACGGAGTTTCACCGTATTAGCCAGGATGTTTTTGATCTCCTGACCTCAGGATCCTCCCTCCTCGGCCTTCCAAAGTGCTAGGATTACGGCGTAAGCCACTGCACCCAGCCATCCCAGGTACTATTAAAAGCACTGTTATTATATGGTGAAAAAGACGGACGGGGTCCCAGTACATACTTTATATGGAACATACTGATGTCTTTTCTAAAACCTCTAGTCTCTGATTTGCCTATATAAAGAGTGACAAGTTTTATTTTTACTTTCTGCAAAAATTCAGTTTCTTGTTGTTTTATCATCATACATACAACTTTTATTCAAATATTCATCTAAGGGCCAGGTGCGGTGATCTCTACTAAAAATACACAAAATTTTAGCCGGGCGTAGTGGCGGGCGCCAGTAGTCCCAGCTACCCGGGAGGCTGAGGCAGGAGAATGGCGTGAACCCGGGAGGCAGAGCTTGCAGTGAGCGGACATCGTACCACTGCACTCCAGCCTGGGCGAGAAAGCGAGACTCTGTCTCAAAACAAAACAAAACAAAAATTAAAAAGAAAACTCGATATTAGGGATTTCACAGTGCTGTAGACTGAATGATAGTGCCCCCCAAAATTCAGCTGTTGAAATGTAACACCCATATGATGATATTTGCAGGTGGGACCTTAGAGGGAGGGGATTAGATCATGACGGTAGAGCCCTCATGAATGGGATTAGTGCACTTATAAAAGAGTCCCCGGAGAGACTCTTGCCCCTTTCACCAAGTGAGGATGCAGGGAAGAGATGGCAATTCATGAATCAAGAAGCAGGTCCTCACCAACTCTTACGGCACTTTGATCTAGGACTTCCTGCCCTCTAGAACTGTGAACAACAAATTTCTATTGCCTATAATCCACCAATTTATGGTATTTTGTTATAGCTGTTTAAATAGATTAAGACACCTAGGATGGGAAACCCATTAATACTGTAATAGAGAGATGAGCTTTCTCTTCCTCTAACTACTTTTAAAGTCTAAGATAATTAGGAAATGATGTTTTGTGTAGCTATATTTTGATTTAAAATTATCTGCCTCAATTAGTGATGAACTAACTTGATTTTGTGCCTGAGTTTTAATAACTGTGATATTTTGAATCAATGTGAGTTATTTGATCAGTTCAAAATATCCAAAAAAAATTTGTCTGGTTAAGATCATGTGCATCTCCATGATGGGATTAGTGTTCTTATAGGAAGAGAAAGTGAGACCATAGCTCTCTGTCTTTCTCTATTTTGTGCCATGTGAAGACATTGTCAGAAGGCAGGAGCCTGTAGTCTAGGAAGGGGGCTTTCACCAGGGACTGAATCTGCCCGAACCTTGTGGAGGATTTCCCAGCCTCCAAAACTGTGAGAAACAAATGTGTGTTGAAGACACCAGTCTCTGGTATTCTGTTATGGCAGCTTGAGCTGCCTAAGATACAATGATAATATAAAAATATTAACAAGATTAGCCTGGGCACCATAAGAAGACCCCAGCTTTAAAAGTAATACAAATAATAATAATAACAACAAACTAAAACATTTTGAAATTTTAAGTGATAATTTTTCATTAGATACAGAATCACCTACTTAGAAAAATACAGATCCCAGGGCAGGGCGCAGTGGCTCAGCCTGTAATCCCAGCACTCTGGGAGGCCGAGGCGGGCGGAACACGAGGTCAGGAGATCAAGACCATCCTGGCTAACACGGTGAAACCCCGTGTCTACTAAAAATACGAAAAATCAGCAGGGCGTGGTGGCGGGCGCCTGTAGTCCCAGCTACCCGGGAGGCTGAGGCAGGAGAATGGCATGAACCTGAGAGGCGAAGCGTGCAGTTGAGCTGACATCGTGCCACTGCACTCCAGCCTGGGCGACAGAGCGAGACTCCGTCTCAAAAAAAAAGAAAAAGAAAGAAAGAAAGATACAGATCCCAAACTCTATTATACTTAATATTTCTTCTAAAATGTTCATCATTTTGAGGATTAAGATTTCTTAATGCATCTGTACAAACACACATGCATATATTCACACAAATAACTATAGTCATTTTATCAACGTTTTGTTTTGACTTATTTATTTAAAAATATTAAATGTATTTTATAAATGAAGAATGCGTGTATTTATTTATTTATTTATTTATTTATTTTTATTTTTATTTTGAGACGGAGTCTTGCTCTTTCGCCCAGGATGGAGTGCAGTGGCGTGATCTCCGCTCACTGCAGGCTCCGCTTCCGGGGTTCATGCCATTATCTGGCCTCCAAAAGTGCTGGGATTACAGGCGTGAGCCACTGCTCTGGGCCTCATTCAAGTATATTTATATAGGAATGTCTGAAATACTGCCACCTAATGTTTAGCAATTATTTTCATTTCTGAGCAGTAGAATTTGAGTGATTTTTATTACTTTTGATTCTGCAATGTGATGTATTCTTTTTTTCATAATGTCTTTCGTATTTATTAAAAGGTTAATTAAATCATCCTAAGAATATTTTATGCATATTTTTGTTAAAATAGGATGTTTAACAGTCAAAATTCTCCATTTACTAAATCTTTCTCAGTCAATGCTTCAGACTTACCTTTTCTACATTTACTAATAAAAAATTTAATTTCAATGTTATATAATAGAAGAACACAGAGTATCTATTTTAAATTTTACCTCCACAAACATCTTTAACCAGAAAATGAAATAAGCACTTAAAATATCAAATAAAATACTAGTTTTCAGGTCTGTTGCTTTGAAAATATGCTTCCTCGTTGAGCAATATCTGAATTTTTATTACTATACCAGGGTATAGATGAAATATCTAACTAGTATACTTTTAAATTAAAACTGCAAAAAATATAGAGAGAATTCAGTAGTGCTTATTCAGCATGTAAAACATTTTGCCTATTACATTCTTCATGTTGATGGTAGCTATGGCTAAAGTTTGTAGATACTTGGTTTCGTTAGCTTTTAGAGTTGCTTAGGTTAAATATGCTATAATATACCAGTCCCTGCTGGCTTTGAACTACTTCGAATTCTTAGAAGTGAAGTAACATAGTACAAACCTATAGAAAATATGATAAATGTACCACGAATGACACAAAATATTTTCTGCAGGTCACATAAGGAGTCATTCTCTATTTTGTCAATTTCCTTAGTTAATTCAAAAGCTCCCGGCCAGGCGCAGTGGCTCAGGCGGGTGCACACCTGCAATCCCAGCACTTTGGAAGGCCAAGGCAGGTGAATCACAGGGTCAGGAGGTCGAGACCATCCTGCCCATCCTGGCTAACACAGTGAAACCCCGTCTCTACTAAAAATACAAAAAATTTGCCAGGCGTGGTGGTGCCCGCCTGTAGTCCCAGCTACTTGGGAGGCTGAGGCAGGAGGATGGTGTGAACCCAGAAGGTGGAGTTTGCAGTGAGCCGAGATCCTGACACTGCACTCCAGCCTGGGCTACAGAGCGAGACTCCGTCTCAAAAAAAAAAAAAAAAAGTTCCCAATGCATGAATCAATCAAGAATTTCACCCCCAACAGTGAAAAAAAAATGTGAAAGCAGTCAGGTTTTAGTCACTGTAAATCACAATTTCAATTCCACCCCATCCAAAGAAAGCTATGTATGTCCTTCTCATTCCAAATACATACAGGCCATGAGTTAATAATCTTTCATTCTTCTAAAATACCAACAGATTTGCTTTTTTACTTTCATTTGTAGTTTATAGTACTCACAATTAAATTGACCCAAATGTTTTTGAGGTATGTATCTAAATATATATATATACATGGATCAAAGGTCAATGCTATTGTCTATGCATTAGCCACTCCCATTTATGAGAATTTTCTAAACTTGTTGCTTTATATCTCTTAAATGGTGTCAGTTGGCCACATTTATTTCCTGAGAAACAACTGAGCAGCTGACAATGAAAATGAAGCTCTCTGCATTCCTCTTAGGCATACTGCATACATCTTAGGCTCTCTGCATTCCTCTTAGGCATACTGCATACATCTTAGGCTCTCTGGATGCCTCTTAGGCACTTAACGCTTACATGTATTTGTATCTCATTACATAGTGATACAGTCCTAAAATAAAGTAAATAATGAGTTATTTTCTAGACTAATTTGATGAGGCTTTTATTTGATAACAAATTAAAATTATGCCACCAGATGCCTATACTTTGACTTATAAAATGTGTTGTGTTCTGCATGGGCAAACAGAAAGTGCAGAAATTGAACGGCTGCCTGGTAAAATTACCTAAATCCACAATGCCACTGGACAACATTGAACTAGATATTTAAATAAGTGAAAGTAATCAAGTAGTTGAGTTCACTGATAAAATTATACTTGGAATCTTACATCATTCCCAGATTAATATATACAATGTATATCAAATGTCATTGCTATGGGAATGGAAACTGTTACACATGAGGCTAAATTTTTATAAAGAATTTTTTTTTCCTCTAGAACTGACCTTGAGAAACTTGATATCCTCTGTTTATGGCAAGTCTTAAGAAAATGTCAACCCAATGTCAAAGGATAATTAATTTTTTTAAAGAAAAGAAAATTAATGGTTCTCATACAAATGTAAAATGAATATATGTTCATGATTTTATTTAACTGATTAATAAATAAGAGTACCACAGGATGTTCTGACTGGTTCAAAGGAGAATACAAAGAGCAGAGAATATACAGGCAGACATTCATGCTGAAATGAATTTGCTTAATAAAGGCAAAATTAGCCAATATCTATAGGGTGACAGTGAAATATATCTACACTGGATAATTTGTATTTTCATGGACAGGAATTATTTGCAATTTACACAGTTGTGAAATAGGTAAAACAAACAAAAAGTGAAAGGTTCAGAAACCCCATACAATCAGTTAAACTAACATTTAGTTTTCCACTGAAAATAGTAATTTTTTGAGACCATTTCAAAGTTTTTCTTAATTTTTCTCTGCTCTAAAAAAGTCTATAAATTATTTCCAATGAACATTAGAGCTTTTTCTTTGTTGAATTAGTATTTTTAAAAATTTATGGAAGGAGACAGAGCATAAAAGCAGTCGCCAAGTTTATCAATTAAGTCGGTACGATTACAAATCCCAATTGAGAAATATTTTTAAGTATATTTTTCTTTCCAAGACAAATAGACATTAAACAGTCCTAATGTTAATATCCTTTATGTTACATATATATGTATAGATGTATAAGTATATGTATATCCTCATGTATATAAAAAGTTACAAACACATAGTTATTTCAGAGAATTATTTATGCAAATGTGTTGGGTTTTCTTTTTGTGAAGCTATGTTATCAAGAAGTTATTCTTAGTTTTACAGAAAATAAAACAGCTCTAGCTCTTTGTATCATAAGATAAATATCTGTTTATAAATATCAGTATTTTCTAATACTTCTAATGTACTCTTTTGGAGGTAATGGTATATGAAACCCTATAAGAGCAATTCTACTTCATTAATTAATTCGGAAGAAACACAAGTTTTTAAGGCCCAGTGTATACCAACAATTGACAAAGTCATTAAGGTAGACAAAGATGGGCAGAGCCTGGGCTTTGGCTATGAATGTTAGAAAATGAATCACTGAAAGTAAAACATGTTTAAAAGATTAAAATAACAGAAAATGGTTTGAAATTAAATTCAGTTATTGGCCATCAATTGGTCAGAAAGAGTAATTAAGAATTAGTCAAAGCTTTTTTCTCTTCATTTAGGTCAAATATGTCATAAAAATAGTCAATTTTAGCTTATTATAAGTTGATTATGTCAAAATGGTTGAACGACATGTCATTGAAATTAATCTTTAGCTTGTAATGCTATCATTTCAGTTTTAATTAATATTGGGGCCAAAATGTTCATTAGATACTGTTTTTAATGATCAGTTTTTATGCAAATGATTTATATAAGTCAGAACTTCAATTCAATGTTTGGTAGCTGTTTGATTTTTAGGACATTATATATTGAAATGTACACTGATTATCCTAAAGTTGTAAATATTTAAGAAACTTTTCAGCAAAAAGTCTAAAATAAAGATATATTTATATTATTTCCAAAACAGAAAATTTAAATTGATTCCCTAGTCAAAGAAACTGTTTGTAAATAAAATGTAACAAGCTATATATTGCTTGGCCCCCAGACATTTTAAAGTCACTTTTCCTTTTTATATACATGTTCTAATATTATAAACAGTGAGCTCAGAAATATCCTAGTTTGTCTTTTGTGTATTTTCAGCAGATTGTGCTGTTTCAAATTCTATTATTTTACTCCAATTCTTTTGTTCACATATTGCTGTTTTGCTAGCGTTTTTCATATTTTAAAATACATTACTATATTGTATATAGTAATATTGTGTTTCTATTTCTCTTTCTTCATGTTTTATTTTGTTCCATAACCTTTGGCTTGTCCTTTTTATTCCATATTCCCATTTGTAGGTGTAGTTTTCAAAGGTGCTTTTCTTATTTACACAAACATAAGACTTTTGTGCCGGGCGTGGTGGCTCACGCCTGTAATCCCAGCACTGTGGGAGGCCGAGACGGGCGGATCACGAGATCAGGAGATTGAGACCATCCTAGCTAACACGGTGAAACCCCGTCTCTACTAAAAATACAAAAAAAAAAAAAATTAGCCAGGCGTGGTGGCAGGGGCCTGTAGTCCCAGCTACTAGGGAGGCTGATGCAGGAGAATGGCGTGAACCCGGGAGGCGGAGCTTGCAGTGAGCCGAGATCGCGCCATTGCACTCCAACCTGGGCGACAAAGCGAGACTCCGTCTCAAAAAAAACAAAAAAAACAAAAAACTTTTGAACCAGAATATTCTGAATGAGATCAAAGTCAAAGCTCAAACATTTCTTAAAAATGAGGTTTTTCTGAGTTGGGAACCAGAGTCATCTTCTATTGCCTGATGCAATAGGCATTGAGAATAGAACTTGTGACAACTCTCTATGCATTAACAATAGAAAAAATGGGATAAGATAGAGGCAAGGAACATACATTCAGGGAGCAAGAAGAAACACTGAGGAACTAATAGAAATTGTGCTTATCAAAATAAACTTACCAAGGTATGGTACCAATTCTCCTTTTTTTGTTCAGTCCATAATAGAGTTCTTAATGCTTTCAATTTTTTTCTTATTAATAATTTTCCTAAATATATTTTATTTGTTTGTTTGTTTGTTTTTTACATGGTGTCTCGCTTCATCACCGAGGCTGGAGTGCAGTGGCGCGATCTCGGCTTACTGCACCCTCCGCCTTGTGGGTTCAAGCAATTCTCCTGTCTCACCCACCTGAGTAGCTGGGACTACAGGTGCCCGCCACCACACCTGGCTCATTTTCGTATTTTTAGTAGAGACAGTATTTCACCTTGTTGGTCAGGCTGGTCTGAACTCCTGACCTCAGGTGATCCACCCGCTTCGGCCTCCTAAAGTGATGGTATTACTTCTGTGAGCTACTGCGCCTGGCCCTAAATCTATTATTTAAAAATCCACCTGTACAATTGGTATTCACAGAAATCTCCCATATATGTTATTATTTTATTCTCATAACTCTCTATGCCAAGTATAGATACATTATTGATGTGGAAAATTAGATCACAGAGATAAAGTGACTTTCCCAAGGTCAGTGCAGAAAGGGAAAAGTGAAAATTTGAAATTGTACCTGAAGAGTAAGAGCAAAGGGGTTAAGGAGTTATTCATAGATCTTTGTGCCTCAGAGGTCCTTACTGAGAGTTTTAATCCAAATGGTTTGGTAAATTTGGGGCGACAGGTATAACATGGCTTATGTGATGCTTAGAGTGTTTTGGAACCATCAAGATCTTTGCAATGGCATCACAGATAACAACCCCATCATCTTGTAAAACATGGACATGTTGGGAAACAATGTTTTAGTTCAGTCATTGAACTGACCCAAACTTCTGTGTTCATATTGTTATAGACCTCATAATTGTTAAGGTATAAAGAAGCATCAGAAGTTTTGTTTTTGTTTTTAATTACAAAGGAGTTAGGATATTCCTAACATCCAAAGTGAATTAAAATAATTCACTTTGATGTGAGAAAGAGCTTCTTGTCTTAGGGACACTGGTGAGGTGAATTCACAACTATGGGTTGTTTTAATTGAATTACATCCTCAGAGCTTTAGTTTTGAGCTCTGAATCTACAATCTGCATTTTGCAAGTAATCAATGGTATTTATTTAAGTGCTCTTGGTAAAGATAATGTGAATAGAGAAATCTGCTTATTTCTAGCATAAAATTGCTTATTAAGCAAAATAATAGAGCACTGCAAATTAACTAGTAAAAAATTGAAATCTTTAACTTTCACACCTTCATTTGATATTTACTGAATACTTTGGGGACTAGATTATATGTAATTTAGTTCAACTTTTGTTTAAAATAGGAAAATGAACTTTGAAAATAAGTACTTTTAAAAATATTTTAGAATGCAAGATAGTTTTCATGGAAACTTTCATGGAATCATATTCTTTATATTTTAGAATCAAGGTATGTTCCTACTTGGTACTTGATCAAGGAAATACCTAAATCAAGAACCATTCCAAATGGCTGTTTATTAAGTGTGATGGTTTACTAATGTCAACAAAAGTGAAAAAAATTATATTGAAGTATAAACTATAAATAATCTTGTTTAACATATTTATAAATACATTTTTGCCCATATTTGTATTTTGTACCTATTTATATAAAAAAACAAATATTATCTTTTGTACAAATATTTTAAGATCTGGCACTTTTTTAGCACCCCAGAAAAATATTTTTCAGGCTCTTAGCTGATGCTGAGAAAAGTCAGTCAGTCTCACATGTTACCATAGATTAATATTGCCTATCTTTGTCTTCATATAAATGGAAGCATACGGTATTTATTTTTTTCTGGCTTATTTCACTCAAAATTGCATTTGTGAAATCTATTTATGTTATGGACCAGTGTTTCATTCCTTTTTGTTTTGTGTAGCACCCTGTTGAATGAATATGGAGCTTTCCAATCCATTCTATCCTGATGAACATCCAGGTGTCTCTGTTGAAACTGCTGGTCATAAATTATGTGTTTAAATTTAGTAGATAATGATAATTATTTTTCCAAAATAGTTGTATCAACTTAATAACTCATTCAAATATGTGAAGACCTCCTAACAATCTAAAAAGATGGACTTCCAATTTCAAATAATAAATACAAAGATTAAGTACTTGAACAGGCAGTATATGCACATTTTTAAACATAAAAGATTGAGTTAAATTTTGAAAAATGTAGGCCGGGCGTGGTGGCTCACGCCTGTAATCCTGGCACTTTGGGAGGCCCAGACGAGCGGATCACGAGGTCAGGAGATAGAGACCATCCTGGCTAACACTGTGAAACCCCGTCTCTACTAAAAATACAAAAAATTAGCCGGGCGTGGTGGCGGGCACCTGTAATCCCAGCTACTTGGGAGGCTGAGGCAGGAGAATGGCATGAACCCGGGAGGCAGAGCTTGCAGTAAGCCGACATTGCGCCACTGCACTCCAGCCTAGGCAACAGAGCGAGACTACGTCTCAAAAAAAAAAAAAAAGAAAAGAAAAGAAAAGAAAAAAAAGAAACATGTAACTAAGAATCTCATTTGAGCTACATGTGTGAAAATATTTCTTTTACATTATCATATAACACAGATTTTGGATATGACGAGTGCTGAACTGAGGCTTTTCACTTGATATGCATTACAAATTAGAATTTTTCACTCACAAAACATGCTTATGACAGTTTTATATATGAATAGAATTGTAAAAATTGCCTTAAGAGTTATTGAATAAAATGTTTAAAGTACCTCATAGGATGAGGAAAAAATGGAAGAGTTAACAAGGATACAGAGCATAAAAGAGAAGAATAAGAGTTCAAATAAAATCGAATGAAAAGACACCATCTTGTGTAACTCTGTAGTTAATTGTGCATGTGTGCTATTTTTCATGACTTGGAGCACGTTATTTTTGGCCAAGAGTTTCCATTCTATCTATGGATATGCCAGAAATTTCCTATTTTAGATCTTCTAGTCTCCAACTCTCAAGATAAAAAACAAAAATCATTAAAACCTCTGACTCTGATATTGAATGCCTGCATAAAAATCTCCTCCCATCACCTTGCAACAGATGACTTGCTCATACACCTTTTTGACTACCACTCCCCATCAAGGGTTCTCTCCTTCGAGACTACAGTAATTCTCTTTGTATTTCATATTATGTGCAAACTTTACTTTCAAAGAGTTGTTACCTATATTAATGTACTTACATCATTCACCGAATATATTTTCTCTATCAGCAAAATTGGTTTAGATATCTTGGATTAGGATAGAACACGTCACAACTTCTCCCCCCTTTATGATCAGTTTTTTTTTTTTTTTAGTCGGACCGTTTTTCAGTTGGTGACTGTCAGAAATGAATTAAAGTTTTAAGAGAAGAATAGGTAAGGGTAAAGAGAAGGGTGTCCTTATGTATCAACTTTGCTTATTTAGTTTTTTCAAGTTCAACAAGACCCTCCTCTCCCTTCAAGGAAGATGATTCCTAGGCACGTTTGTTACTTCTATCAAAACAGCTGAGTTTTTTTTTTTTTTTTTCATTCATGTTGTTAAAATACCAATAGTGGAGCGAAAAATGCTTCACCTGGGACTGTCCCCTGACAGGCAGTGCGACGAGGTCAGGCCCGCGCCCGCCGAGTCCTAGGGCCGCTGCCGCCGACGGCCATGGAGGACGAGCAGCTCGACAGCCTGGAGGGCTGGGCGCCGGTCCGGCAAGGCCTCTTCGCCGATCCCGAGAGGCACCGGCTGCGCTTCCTGGTGGCGTGGAATGGCGCGGAGGGCAAGTTAGCTGTGACTTGTCACGACCTCACCGCGCAGCAGCCGCAGCGGCGCGAGGGGGCCCGGCTGGGGCTGGAGCCCAAACCCAAGGCCGCTGTGTCCCCGCCCAGCTGCCGTGTCCCCGCCCAGCTGCCGTGTTCCCGCCCAACTGGGCCGGCCGGTTCTCGGCCGCGGGGTTCCGCGGCGCGCGCTGGCAGCTAGCGGCGCTGTGGCCGCCTCTGGAACGCTGCTCCCCGCAGCTGGACGTGGGCGGCGGCGGGGCCTGGAGTCTGGGGCTCGGGCTGTGGGCGCTGCTCTGGCAGGCGCGCGCGGGCCCCGGCGAGGTGGCGCTGCAGGAGCTTTGCGGGCAGCTGGAGCGCTACCTGGGCGCGGCGGCCCACGGCTGCGGCGGCGCCACCGTGCGCCACGCTGTTTTCGCGGCTAAAGGCCGCGCGGCTGACTGCGAGAGCCCGCGCGAGTTTCGAGAGCGGGCCCTGCGCGCCTGATGGGTCGAGGCGGACGCGCGGCTGCGTCAGGTAAGCGAGGCCGGGCCGCCGGCGTTTGACCGCGCTTGGGTGGCCTGGGACCCTGTGGGAGGCTTCCCCGGCGCCGAGAGCCCTGGCTGACGGCTGATGGGGAGGAGCCGGCGGGCGGAGAAGGCCACGGGCTCCCCAGTACCCTCACCTGCGCGGGATCGCTGCGAAAAACCAGGGGGAGCTTCGGCAGGGCCTGCAGAGAGGACAAGCGAAGTTAAGAGCCTAGTGTACTTGCCGCTGGGAGCTGGGCTAGGCCCCCAACCTTTGCCCTGAAGATGCTGGCAGAGCAGGATGTTGTAACGGGAAATGTCAGAAATACTGCAAGCAAACTGAAAACAACCCATCCATGTAGGAAAGAATAACACGGACTACACGTAAGCAATTCCAAGTCTGTGTCTGCGGGGACGTCGCAAGTGGGATAAAATGGTTTAAAGGAAGAAATGGCTTTTAGGAGTTAGGGTGTTTTGTTTTAAGTAATACAGACTTGGTCAAATGGAAAGCCGGTAGAAAGTGAGCTTTATTCATCAGTTTAACCGCATTAGTGCTCTTTTAAGCTTGAAAGAGGTAGTTTGAGAGAGTAATTGAGTGGTAAACTTACTGAACTTAGGGGACGGGGAAGTACATGTTCATAGAAGGGTTTAGGAGAAAGTATGCCTTCTAAATCCACACCCACGGTTTACTAAGCAGAGCCAGGCTGGAGTCTCAGCTCACTGCTCTTATTAACCTGAATGATTTTTTTCTGTGCATTCTTTTGAGGAAGGGGAGGTGAAAAGAAGAATTCAGCCTAAGCTAAATATAGAATAAGCTTTCTAAATTAAAATGGTTTTATAAAAGGAGCTTGTTAGTGGGGTCATTTTTGTACTGTGAGCTTTATGTGTAAATGTCTACACACCCACTTAACATGTGTTGATTTCACTTTAGACTATGAGGAAACCACAGGGGAGTTTCAGGCCAGTCAGCTTTTGATCTTCAACTTTATAACTTTCACCTTAGGATATGACGAGCCCACCGGAGTTTCAAAAATGGTATCATTTTGTATCAGACTTGTTTTTTACACTCTTGGTTTCTCACAGAGATAGGTGGTTTCTCCTTAAAATCGAACATTTATATGATGCATTTTACTGTAGTTACTATCAGAAAAGTTAGTTTTCCCAAATTTAAGTTCACTCTGGGGTACTATAGCGTGAATGTAGTTCATTCTGTTGAGCTAGTTGTTCATGTTAGTGTAGTTCACATATTTATCTGGAACTCAAAAATGAGGGGTTGAGAGGGGAAGCTAAAATTCAAAACATGTCCAAATATATAATTTTAATATTTTACTTTATATTTAAAATAGAAAAGCAATTGATTCTAGAATTAGACTAATTGCTAGCATTGCTAGCATATATAAAATGAAGCTGAATGTTTTAACTCTGGAATTTTTCTGAATAGTCTAAGAAATAAGGCTGAAGTGTATCACTTGCCTTAAGTTTACTTTTGCGTGTGTGTTTTAATTTTGTTCAGTGGGGCTTTCACTTAAAAAAAAAACCATAATATTATTACCTGGATAAAAAATACAGCTGAAAGTAGATCACTTTATCTTTAAGCAGAAGGATGGAAATAGAAGAATTTTAAGAATGTATTGGTTGAAAAACATCTATATTATTTTATTTTTATTTCTCTTCTTGTGGGAGTAAAATAATTTCCAACCAAATCAGTCCACCTAGATTATACACTGTTCAGTTTGTTTTCTGCCCTGCAGCACAAGCAATAACCAGCAGAGACTGGAACCACAGCTGAGGCTCTGTAAATGAGTTGACTGCTAAGGACTTCATGGGGATATTAACCTGGGGCATTAAGAGAATCAACATGCTAAAGTACTTGGAGACAGCTCTGTAATGTTTTATGAGGTTTTTTGTTTTTTTTTTTTGAGACAGAGTCTTGCACTGTCGCCCAGGCTGGAGTGCAGTGGCGCCATCTCGGCTCACTGCAAGCTCTGCCCCTCAGGTTCACCCCATTTTCCTGCCTCAGCCTCCCCAGTAGCTGGGACTGCAGGTGCCCTCCACCACGCCCAGCAAATTTTTTGTATTGTTAGTATACACAGGGTTTCACCGTGTTAGCCAGGATGGTCTCAATCTCCTGACCTCGTGATCTGCCTGCCGTGGCCTCCCAAAGTGCTGGGGTTACAGGTGTGAGCCACCATGCCTGGCCCTTAGGAGCTTTTAAAAAGGAATACAGCCTCACAAAACCTTCACAGTCAGAAAAGTCAAATGAAAAAATATCCACACCTCAAACCTTCTTTTGGGTCCTTTTCGCTGCATACTTAGTGCATAGTTGAGATTAAATTTTGTACTCTGCCTCTCCATTTAATTATAAAAGTCTCCTTTTTTTTTTTTTTGAAACAGAGTTTCGTTCTTGTTGCCCAGGCTGGAATGCAATGGCACTGTCTCGGCTCACCGCAACCTCCGCCTCCCGGGTTCAAGCTATTCTCCTGCCTCAGCCTCCCCAGTAGCTGGGATTACAGGCATGCGCCACCTCGCCCAACAAATTTTGTATTTTTAGTACAGACAGGGTTTCTCCATGTTGGTCAGGCTGGTGTCGAAGTCCTGACCTCAAGTGATCCACCCGCCTCGGCCTCCCAAAGTGCTGGAATTACAGGCGTGAGCCACGGTGCCTGGCCAAAAGTCTCCATATTATTAAACAATCTTCAGAAGCACAGTGCTGAATGACTACAGTAATAATATTCTGCCATGGATATATCATAATTTACTTAACAATTCTTGTTTTATTGGGCATTTTTGATGGAGGATGATGACATTTTCATATTTAATCAATATTTTAAATTGATGTATTGAAAGTTGAGAACATGAAGGTTTCTTTTGTTTAGTTTTGTTTGTTGGGTATGTATTACACTGTCTGACTTGAGCTTTATTCACATTTGCTCTCTAGGTTATCCAAGGACATGGAAAAGCCAACACCATGGTAGCATTAATGAAAGTTTACCAAGAGGAAGATGAAGCCTACCAGGAATTAGTTACCATGGCAACCATGTTTTTCCAGTACTTACTGCAGCCATTTAGGGCTATGCGAGAAGTTGCAACTTTATGTAAGCTTGATATTTTGGTATTTTTTTTAATTTTTATTTTATCACATTTACTATTTGTCATATATTATTTCTTTATTTACACTTAATGTTCAATCTCTGCACTTTGTTTGGGTTTACTTTTATGTTTCTTTACTTATTTATTGATAGAGATGAGGTTTTGCCATGTTGCTCAAGCTGGTTTCTAACTCCTGAGCTCAAGCAGTCTGCCCACCTCGGCCTCCCAAAGCGTAGCATTACAGGCGTCAGCCACTATGCCTAGTTCACCCTCATGTTTAAATATTGAATTTATATTTAAAATTGATAGAAAATGAAGACATTTATGTTGGTCATCTTACTAGCTTAAGATTCCTGCAGATTTTAAAGAGTTAAGAGTTTTTTTGTATCGATGCCTTTTTTTTTTTTTTTTTTTTTTTGAGATAGGGTCTCTCTTTGTCAGCCAGGCTAGAGTGCAGTGGCACAATCTTGACTCACTGCAACCTCCTCCAGGTTCAAGTGACTCTTCTGCCTCAGTCTCCTGAGTAGCTGGGATTACAGGTGTGCACTACCATGCCCAGCTAACTTTTTTTGTATTTTTAGTAGAGACGGGGTTTCACCATGTTGGCCAGGCTGGTCTCAAACTCCTGACCTCAAGTGAGCCACGCGTCTCAGCCTCCCAAAGTGCTGGGATTACAAGCGTGAGCCACTGCGCCCAGCCTGATGAATTGTTTTTGATGTGATATTTATTTGCTTCAGTTTGTTTTCCTCTAAGGACTCATCCAAATTTCTTAAAATAGGATGAAAATTTAAATAGCAGGACCCTAGATTGTAATTCAGTAACTTAAATTTTAGTAAATGCTGTTATCGCTCTTGCTTCATTGAGCCATCAAACAACCGTGTGACCCCATTCAGAAAAGGCATTCTTATTCCAGTGTTACAAATGAATCTGGAGTCCAGAGTTGTTAAATATCTTACCTTGGGTCTCAACAACGGGAATCAGAAGACACCTAAGAGATCTCTTGATTTCTGCCCCCTGCACTGGGCCATCTTTCCACATATAATCTCATGCCCCCTGCCAGATGATTGTACTATAAAAATAGTATCACATTTAGATGAAACTCATGCCACTCTAACCTGTGGATAAAGTTGTTCTGTTCATTATTTTGAAAGTCTATTATTTGGAGAGTCTACTTCTTGCATATATTTTGCTTTCTTCTTCTGTTTTTTTTTTTTTTTTGTGAGATGGAGTTTCGCTCTTGTTGACCAGGCTGGAGTGCAATGGCGTGATCTCAGCTCACTGCAACCTCCACCTCCTGGATTCAAGCGATTCTCCTGCCTCAGCCTTCCGAGTAGCTGGGATTACAGGCATGTACCACCATGCCCGGCCTGGCTAATTTTGTATTTTTTTAGTAGAGATGGGGTTTCTTCACGTTGGTCAGGCTGGTCTTGAACTCCTGACCTCAGGTGATCTGCCCACCTCAGGCTCCGAAAGTGCTGGGATTACAGGCATGAGCCACCGCACCCGGTCTATATTTTTCCTTTCTTTAAGTAACAGCTGTTTTAAGATACCATTCACAGATTATATATATATATATATATGTATATATATATGAATATATGTATGTATATATATGTGTATATATGTATATATATGTGTATATATGTGTGTATATGTGTATATATGTGTATGTGTATGTGTATGTGTATGTATATGTATGTGTATATATGTATATATAAAAGATGTACAATTCAGTGATTTTTAGTATATTGAAAGTTGCACAATGGTCATTACTATGTAATTTCAGGACATTTTCACCTCCAAAAGAAACCCTGTACCCATTAGTCACTCCCAACCCTGGGCAACCACCAATCTACTTTCTGTCTCTGTGGATTTCCCTACTCTGGACATAGCAACAGCATTATTGAATATGTGGTCCTTTCACTCAGCACAGTGTTTGCAAGACTAATCCATGTTGTAGCAAATACCAGGATTTCATTTCTTTTTATTGCTCAGTAATATTCATTGTATGGATATATTGCATTTTATTCATCAGTTGATGGACATTTGGGTTGTTTCCACTTTTTGGCTATCATGAATAATTCTGCTATGAATGTTTGTGTGTGAGTTTCTGTGTAGACATATCTTTTCATTGCTCTTGTGTACGTACTGAGGAGTAGGATTGCTGGGTCCTGTGATTACTCAATGTTTAACCTTTTGAAAGACGCCAGATGGTTTTCCAAAGTGGGTGCCTCATTTATATTCCCAAAAGCAGTAAATGAGGGTTCCAATTTGTCCACATTATCACCAACACTTGTAATTGTGTGTCTCTTTGGTTACAGCCATCCTAGTGGGTGTGAAGTGGTATCTCGTTATGGTTTTGATTTGTAATTCCTTGTCGGCTAACTTGTACATATTTCTTATGCTTTGTAGAAGAAAAATTGCATATTGGATGACATAGCTGTACATGTCTTAGTTCAGGCTGTTATAACAAAGTACCGTAGATTAGTGGCTTATAAACAACAAAACTTTTTTTCTCACAGTTCTGGAGGCTGGGTAGTCTAAGATCAAGGTGCTGGCAGATCCAGTGTCTTGTGAGGGCCAGTTTCTTAATTTGTAGATGACTGTCTTGCTGTGTCTTCACATGGTGAAGAGCAGAGAGAGAGATCCTGTGTCTCCTCTTCTTTTTATAAGGGCATTAATCCCATTCTTGAGGGCTGCACCCTCATGACCTAATTACCTCCCAAAGGCCCCATCTTCAAATACCATCACACTGGGGATTTAGGCTTCAACATATGCATTTTGGGGGGACCCAAACATTCAGTCCAATACCAGTGCATGTTATAAGCATGAATATACAGATACTGTCTTTTAGGTGATTATATTACATATCCCTAAAAGAAACGATAACAACAGCTAACACTTAAGTGCTGTGTTCCAGGCCCTATGCTGAGTGCTTGACAACACAGATCACTCATTTAAACAATTGTGTATTATTATTAATAGAGAGAAGCATAAGTTGACAACATTCCTCTCTAGAAAAAGTTATTCTAGGCATGTGAAGTGAAAGTAGGTTTTTTTTTCCCCTTTATGCCCCAGAGTGTCCTTTTGTCTTCCAGGTGGTGCTCAGCTTAGAGCCTTATTCATATGCAGTAAGGGACTGCTGAATGAATGAAAATTTAACTGACTGAGTAGTACTGTAGTTAAATTAATCCATGTGACCAGTTTCCTTTCAATTTCCTAATGGGTCAACATAACTATTAGCTCTTAGTAAGATAATTTTCTCTTCTGTCTGTAGAATTCCTTGGATGAGGATGACGTAGGTCCTACGTCTCCAGGATAGTTGCCCTGGAGAAAGAAGCTGAAGAATGGACCAGACGGGCTGAAGAAGCTGTTGTCTCTATTCAAGATATCACAGTGAATTATTTTAATTAGACAGTAAAAGCATTAGCAGGTGATAATCTAAAAAATGCTTTACGCAGATACGTGTAATTGATTGTCATTTTATTCATATACCATTTGAGTCCCTCTTACGCACTAGGCACTGTGTTTTCTGGGTGGCAAGAATTCAGTGTCAAGCATTAAGAGACATTGTACAGTCTGGTGAAGGGAGAGAAATCTTAATTATCTATTCACTGAAGCACATGGAAAATGGCAGTGACAATAAATGGCACAAAGAAGAGAGACATCGGGCTCTGAGGGTCTGTGAGAGAGAAATTGGGCTTGATCAGGGTGGTCGCTGAAGGCCTCTGAGAAGTGGTGCTTGCCCCAGTAGCTGAAGGGTAAACGGAAGTTGAGAGAATAGAAAAAGTGAGGAGTGTTCCGGGCAGAAGGAATAGCACTGGTAAAGGTCCCCTGGCTTGAGGGAAGTTGGCAAATAGGAGCTTACAGAAAACCTGCAGGGCTGGATCACACAGAGTGCAGGACAGTGTGGCACGAGGGAGAATGCTGGCAAGACAGGCAGGGATCAGACCGTGCAGGGGCTTGCGGGCTGGGTGAAGGACTTTTTTTCAGTCTTAAATAATTGTTAATAAAAACACCAAATAGGAAACAACTTAATGTCTGTCAGTTTGTTAAGTTATGGTACATTCATAAAAGAGAAAACTACATAGCTATTAAGCATGATTCTTGATTTTTTTTATAAATGGCAAGAGTGTCTGATATATTGTGCAGAATCAACAAGATATAAAGCAGAATGATAATCCTGGTTTTTTGGTCAAACTATCCATATGAGCCTGTCTGTCTAGCTAGACATAGAAACAATATGGAAGCAAGTGTGCCAAAATATAAGAAGCAGTTGCCTCAACTAGGTGAGATCATGACTTATTATTGTCCTTTTAAAAATTGAATACCTAAAATTGTATATTAATGACCATGTATTATTTTTATAATAATAAAAAAGTTAATAAAACAAAATTTCTTTTAAAAAAGATGTTCTGCAGGTAGTATGGAAGCAATAAAAAAAGAATTAGCTCATGATCAATGTTTCCCTTTTTAATGAGGTGTAATTATATTTTATTTTTATAATCCAACAGGAATGCAGAAAGAAATGGAACAGGATGTGAAGAGATTTGGCCAGGCTGCCTGGGCCACAGCAATTCCCAGGTTGGAAAAACTTAAGCTAATGCTAGCTCAAGAGACTCTGCAGCTCATGAGAGCGAAAGAGTTATGTTTAAATCACAAAAGAGCTGAAATTCAGGGAAAGGTAAGACAAAGATAAACATAACTTTGTTTTAAAAATACACTTTTATTTATTTTTTATTTTTATTTTTTTTTTTGAGACAGAGTCTCGCTCTTTTGCCCAGGCTGTACCGCAGTGGTGCAGTCTCGGCTCACTGCAAGCTCCACCTCCCGGGTTCACGCCATTCTCCTGCCTCAGCCTCCCGAATAGCTGGGACTACAGGCGCCCACCACCACGCCCAGCTAATTTTTTGTATTTTTAGTAGAGACGGGGATACACTGTGTTAGCCAGGCTGGTCTCGATCTCCTGACCTCGTGATCCGCCCGCCTCGGCCTCCCAAAGTGCTGGGATTACAGGCGTGAGCCACCATGCCTGGCCCCACTTTTATTTTTTAAAAAGTTTGTGTAAATAAGGGATACAAGTACTGTTTTGTTCCATGGATATATTGTGTAGTGGTGAAGTTTGGGCTTTTAGTGTAATCTTCACCTGTATAATGTAATTGTACCCACTAAATATTTCTCATCCTCCCTCCCACCCTCTTACTCTTCTGAGTCTCCAGTGTCTATTATTCCACACTGTGTGTGTATACACACTACTTAGCTCCCACTTATAAGTGAGACCATGTGGTAAAGCACACTTTTATTTTTAGATAGCACTTTTCTTTCCAGGCATCGTTAAAGAGCTTCTTTTCTTCACTTATTCTAACACTGTCTTCTATGGAAGGTTAGACATAAAGTTTTCCTTTAGTTAAGATGTTTCAAAATACCATATTATAGGATTTACTTTATAGTAACACCGAGCCCAGTATTGAAGTGGGTACTGTACTTGAATATCAATCCAGCAATGTTTTCAGTACAGCTTTAAAATAATCAAAGAGATACTTCACTGAAGGATCATAGACACTTAAGTTTTTTCCTATAATCTTATGACCTTAAAGCAGAAAACACTGTAACCACCTGTCTTAGTTGGCTAAGGCTGCTATAACAAGATTAAATATCACAGATTGGGTGGCTTCAACAACGGACATGTATTTCTCACAGTTCTGGAGGCTGGGAAGTCCAAGATGCCTGCAGATTCACTGTCCGGTGAGGATCCTCTTCCTGTCTGGTAGACAGCTGCCTTCTTAACTGAGTGCTCATATAGCCTTTCTTCTGTGTGTAAGTTTAGAGAGAAAGAAAGTGATCCCTGTCTTTCTCTTCTAATGGCACTAATCCCATGATGGGGGTGCCATCCTTTTGACATAATCTGAACCTAATTACTTCCAAAGGACCCACCTCCAAATAACATCACATTGGGAGTTAGAGTGTCAACATATGAATTTTGTGGGGACACCAATATGCAATACATAATAATACCTCATTGCCATTTATGTTTCTCAAAACCTAAATGTTTTTCTGTTTCAAGGATGAGATAAAATATTAGCATCACTAGATGAAATGAAAAAGTGTTTCTTTCCTATTTGCTTTTTTATATTTAGTATTGAACAAGGAATAGAAAATAGCTAGAATGCTTCTGAAGTTTGTTTTTAATATACTATTTATTTTAACTTATTTTTCTTTTTTCTATGAAAATAAGATGGAAGATCTTCCAGAACAAGAAAAAAATATAAATGTTGTAGATGAATTAGAAATGCAATTTTATGAAATTCAGTTAGAACTATATGAAGTTAAATTTGAGATATTAAAAAACGAAGAAATACTGCTTACTACACAGTTGGACTCTCTTAAAAGACTTATAAAAGGTAAAGTTTATATTTAAGTATATAGATTACAATGTTTATAAATTTAAGGAAATACAGACCATATTATCAATTACTTTTTGTAAACTGTAACATCTGAAAATTTCCTAAAGTTTTCCTTCAGTAGTTTATTATTCAAATAATATATTCATTGTTAGCACATAGCAAAACAAAGAAAGAAAAATGATTATTACTCCAATCCCATCATCTAGAGATGCTTAGTGTTTGGCTGGGCACAGTGGCTCACGCCTATAATCCCAGCACTTTGGGAGGCTGAGGCGGGCGGATCACTTGAGGTCAGGAGTTCCAGACCAGTCTGACCAACATGGTGAAACCCCATCTCTACTAAAAATACAAAAATACTAAACCCTGTCTCTACTAAAAATACAAAGTCCGATGTGGTGGCACGTGCCTGTAATCCCAGCTACTTGGGAGGCTGAGGCAGGAGAATGGCTTGAACCCGTGAGGTGGAAGTTTCAGTGAGCCAAGATCGTGCCACTGCACTCCAGCCTGGAAGACAGAGCGAGACTCCGTCTAAAAAAGGAAAAAAAAAAAAGAGATACTTAGTGGTAACAATTTGCTGTATAACTTTGTAGATTTTAAAATATGCTGATATATAAAAATATAAATTTTTAACCAAAACTACATAACCAGTTCAGTAACATCTTTTTAAAAATTTTTTAATTTTTATGGGTGCATAGTAGATATATATATTTATGGGTTACATAAGATATTTTGACACAGGCATACAATGCATAATAGTCTCTTTTTCATTTAATACATACTAATTGTCTATTTCAGAAATAATAAAAGTATCAAAATTTTAATGGCTGCATAGTATTCCATTATATGGATATACCGTGATTTCCAAATTTCCGCTGTTTTGAACAGTAGTGTAGTGAACTTTCCTTTACACATGTCTTTTTGAGTATAGGACAGATTATCTCCTTAGAATAAATATGTAAGGATGGAATTATTGGGTCAAGGACAATGTATATTTTACATTTTGCTACGTAATAATACAACAATCATCTGAGATACATTTTTCCTCACCTCCGTATTATTTTCTGATTTCTAAATTTCATACTATGTAGTGGCCCTCTAGATAGGTTGTACATTTAAAATGACGCTCCCAGGCTGGGCGTGGTGGCTCACGCCTGTAATCTCAGCACTTTGGGAGGCTGAGGGGAGCAGATTACTTGAGGTCAGGAGTTCAAGACCAGCTTGGCCAACGTGGTGAAACTCTGTCTCTACTAAAAATACAAAAATTAGCTGGGCGTGGTGGTGGGTGCCTGTAATCCCAGCTACCTGGGAGGCTGAGGCAGGAGAATTGCTTGAACCTGGGAGGTCGAGATTGCAGTGAGCTGAGATGGCGCCACTGCACTCCAGCCTGGGCGACAGAGTAAGACTCTGTCTCAAAAAAAAAAAAAAAAAAAAAAAGACGCTCCCATCAGCAGAATATGAGTGTGTATGTTTCCCAGACTCATGCCATTTTTTTGCATTTTTGCTTGCTTGACAGAGAAAATGGCAGTCTTCCAATTTTCATTTATTTAATTATGAATGAATATTGAACAAAATTTTGTATGTTTACAAGCCATTTGTACTTATTTTATGAAATGCCTAGTCATAGTCTTTGTCCATTTTTCTTTGGAATATTTCCTTTCGACATTAAGAATAATATTCTCTATTGTCTGTCATATGTTGCAAATAATCTCTCCTTGTCATTTGCGTTTTCTTGCCTTTCAGAAATATTTAATTTTTATGAAGTCGTGTTTATTGATTTTTTCCCCTATGGCTTCTGCTTTTAGTATTATGTCTGGCAATAGGCTCCTATCCCAAAATTATGTCAATATATACTTATGTTTTCTTTCAGTATGTTTATGATGTTACTTTTTAAAACATTTAATTCTTTAGTCCAGGTGGAATTTATTTTGAATGTGGTAGGAATTGAACCTTTCCCTCAAATTGTTAAGCAGTCCCAATCACTGATTTTAAAAACATTTTCCCTAAATGTTTAACATTTCTCCAGTTAAGCATTAGATTGACTTTGGTCTGTTTCTGAGTTGTTCTCCTCCATTGGTTCGTGAGTGGCTTCTGCTGCTGGCTCCATACTGTTCCCACGACTGTCTTGGAGGCACATTTTAGGGTCTGGTAAGGCAAGTACCCCCCACATTACTTCACAAGTTTTCTGACTATTTTCACTCCTTTATTCTTCCAGATGAAATTTAGAATCAAGTTCAAAACAAAAAACTCTTTGGAATTTTGATTGTGATTTTGCTTAAAATTAGAGATTACTTTGGGGAGAATAGTGGTCTTTGCAATTTTGAATCTTCCTACCCAAGAACATGGTATGTCTCTCTCCATTTATTTAAATCTTTTTTCCTAAAGTTCCTCCAAGTTTAATAAATTTCTTCACATAGATCCTGAACTTTTAGTTTAATCCTGAGTATTCAGAATTTTTTTCAGTAGTTTCAGGTTATAAGCAGTTTACATATTTAGGAAAAAAATTACATTAAAAAAAGAAGTTAATCTGGAAGGATGCATGCCAAATTGTTCATAATGTTTTTCCTCTGAGAATGACTCAGAAGGTTTGGGGAATGAGCAATAGAATTTCACTGTTTATTTGATGTACTTCTGGAGGGTTTGAATTTGTTACAGTAAGCATGACTTTTAAAAAATCAATATGTAATCAAGATTAAATATCACTAAGGCATCTTAATAATATATTGCTGGTAGAATATAAGTTGCCTTTCTGGAGGGCAGTGTGGCAATGGGTATCAAGATCCTTAAACACTTATCTGCTAAGGAAGTGATAAAAAGTGTACACAAAGATTTATACAGAGATGTTTATCACAGTGAAATGAATAATAATGGAACATTGGAACAGCCTAACAACGTGGATTGCTTAAATTAGAGAATACTATGCTGCCATTAAAATTTATCTTTTTAAATTTTTTTTTATTTTTGGAGATGGAGTCTTGCTCTGTTGCCCAGGCTGGAGTGCAGTGGCACGATCTCGGCTCACTGCAACTTCTGCCTCCCAGGTTCATGCTGTTCTCCTGCCTCAGCCTCCTGAGTAGCTGGGATTACAGGCACACGCCACTGTGCCCAACTAGTTTTGTATTTTTAGTAGAGATGGGGTTTTGCCATGTTGGCCAGGCTGGTCTTGAACTCCTGACCTCAGGTGTGCCGCCTGTCTTGGCTTCCCAAAGTGCTGGGATTACAGGCGTGAGCCACCGCACCTGGCCTAAAAATTTATTTCCATCCCATGGAAAATGTTCTTTTAGAACTCCATTGATAAGTGTAGCTATGTAAGTAGTATGTGTATGTGCGTGTGTATATATACGTATGTCTGTACAGGTATATATACGTGCATATACTACTTACATGTATATACACACATGCTACTTAATACATGTGTATAGTCATGTATATATACACGTGTATATGTATATTACATTTATACACATACATTTTTTATATGTTAATAGTGATTCTCAGTGGTGGGATTACAAGTGATCTTTATTTTCCTTACATTTAAAAAAATTGAGTGCATTTTTACAAATAATAAAATATGTTTTAAACAATCATTAATACCTTTTTAGAAAAACAGGATGAAGTTGTCTATTACGATCCATGTGAAAGTCCAGAGGAACTTAGTCATTGACTGTGGTGGGGCTGCAGGACGATAAGAATTCGGAAGTGAAAGAACTCAGAAGGCAGTGCCAGCAGCTGGAGTCTGTTAAACGGGGCAGTCTGTGTCAAAAGAGCTTCTCTCCAGAGTAGAAAGGTAGGTACGCTCAGAGCGGCTTTCTTTTCTTTTCTCTTCCAGAGATTTATTCTTGTATGAAGGATAAAGAGGTATTGAAATAAGGTTTTTACCAACACAGTGATTAATTTTTTGTGTGCTTATGTACTTATCCATGGCTATAGTTAAAATGATTTTTAATATTTTTCTTAAAAATATTATTTTTTTCTTTTGGGTTTTAAGCATTTAGCAAATCTCAAGGTTTTAATTTATTCATTTAACAACTATTTGTTGAATGCCCACTGCATACACAGGCACTTTTATTTTTATTTTTTTGAGACAGAGTCTTGCTCTGTCACCCAGGCTGGAGTGTGGAGGCAAGATCTTGGCTCACTACAACTTCCGCCTCCTAGGTTGAAGCAATTCTAGTGCCTTAGCCTGCCAAGTAGCTCGGTTTACAGGTACGCGCCACCACGCCCAGCTAATTTTTGTATATTTTGTAGAGACGGGGTTTCGCCATGTTGGCTAGGCTGGTCTTGAACTCCCGACCTCAAGTGATCCGCCCACCTTGGCCTCCCAAAGTCCTGGGATTACAGGTGTGAGCCACTGCCCCTGGACCACAGGTACTTTAAAAACCACAATAGGTAGAAACTCTATTTCTAATAACCAACTATAACAATTCTAAATATATTTTACTGTAAATTATTGAGTACACAAAACAATAACAGGTAACTATTCAGCTCACCTCAGATTTAATACTTAAACATTAAAGAATATCAACCTACTTGCAAGAAACTTAACAAAACCTAAGGAACATAATACAAATAAAACTTTACCTATGCAGATTATAAGCTGGATATTATAATATCCAGGAAAATATCCAGGATGTTAGAATGGCTTGAAACAGAATTGAAAATTTTTGAGCTATAAGACACATAGGAGAAATTTTAAGTTCATTTTTTTTGGGTGAGACATTTATTAGTCTCAACAAGACTGAATGATTTTCTTTTAAGGTCACACATTTAAATAGTTAACAGGAGAAATACCAACCAGAATCATAGTCAAATACCCACCTACTCCCTTTCCAAGACAACTAAGGTCTCAAATTGCGCCCATTTTTCTCAAATTATTTCTAGAATATTTAGCAAAAGAGGCTTTTAATTTGGCATGTCTTTGTCTACAATTTTGTAGTTTATGTAAAGAAAGGTAGACTAAGGGAATTTCATTTTAAAGGTGAGGATCAGAATGACATTTGTGAAGCTATGATGCCTGTGCCATCTGGCATACACGAGGGTGTTGTACTAAATGGGATCAGAATGAGCTCCTTTTGGAAGGAAACCTTTAATAGACTGGGAAACATTAAGGGAATCTTCCCTTTTTTATTTATTTTATTTTATTTTATTTTTTTTTAGATGGAGTCTCACTCTGTTGCCCAGGCTGGAGTGCAGTGGCGCAGTCTCGGCTCACTGCAAGCTCCGCCTCCTGGGTTCACGCCATTCTCCTGCCTCAGCCTCCTGAGTAGCTGGGACTACAGGTGCCCGCCACCACACCCGGCTAATTTTTTGTATTTTTAGTAGAGACGGGGTTTCACCGTGTTAGCCAGGATGGTCTCCATCTCCTGACCTTGTGATCCACCCGCCTCAGCCTCCCAAAGTGCTGGGATTACAGGCGTGAGCCACCGTGCCCAGCCTCTTATTTTTAATAGAGCATTGGAAAATGAATTCTGTATACCTGGCTAATGAAGGAAATCCAGATTCGTTGCCAAAACCAAGTTTTAAAGGAATTTGCAATCCTTCACAGTTCATTCAAGGAGGCAATGGAAATTTTGATGAAGAAATTTTTTAAAATCTTTCTTAAAAGGAGTCCTTACATTGGCATTGTATCATGACTAAAGTCTTCCTCCCTCTCTCCCTTCTATGCTTTTTGTTTCTGTTTTCTATCTTTCAATGACATCAGTTTCATGGATATAAATGGTTAAAAGACAATGATTACAACACACAGTTGAGTGACACAAATCTTGTTGTAGTGTTAGAAATACATCAATACATTGGGATCATAAAGAGAAATGGCAAGAAAAAAAATCTTAAGTTAATAACAGAAAATGCTGATTCCCACAGTCCGTGTAGAAAATAACACGTTTTTTTTTCTGTCAGTGGAGATAACTGAGACTAGTTAATATTGTCAATTCTGTTCCTTCTGACTGAGCCAGGTGAGGCAAAATTTAGCATATGAGTTGAGGGACAAAACTATTACCTTGGCAACATAAAAATTAATACTGTCTACATTGTTTACTAGGAAATGCATGCAAAATTAATACACACTCTTGGTAGTACAGGTTCGTTTCACTTCTATAGTGTGTGGTTAATAGAAAGCTGATTCAACAGACGATAGATTCAACAGACGATGTAGAATTGTCTAAGATCCAGCCAGGCGCGGTGGTTCACGCCTGTACTCCCAGCACTTTGGGAGGCTGAGGCGGCAGATCACAATGTCAGGAGATCGAGACCATCCTGGCTAACATTGTGAAACCTCGTCTCTACTAAAAATACAAAAAAATTAGCCGGGAGTGGTGGTGGGCGCCTGTAGTCCCAGCTACTCGGGAGGCTGAGGCAGGAGAATAGCGTGAACCCAGGAGGCGGAGCTTGCAGTGAGCCGACATCGCGCCACTGCATTCCAGCCTGGGCGACAGAGCGAGACTCCATCTCAAAAAAAAAAAAAAAAAAAAAAAAGAATTGTCTAAAATTCATCGTCGGTGAGTCCATGGCATGTTTTGGAATTTATTCACTTGTTTGCCTCAGGAACAGTAGCTGTTCAGATTTGTTCTGTCTTTGATTTTGGAAATGAGGTTACCGTGCTCTGTAGTGTGAGGAAGATGACATGGCATAATTAGGCAAACGGCTAGGCATTTTCTCAGCAGTAAATTACCAGTGCCCTTACTTGCCATGATACCCACAACAGGCAGAGGCAGTTTCCTGAGGCAATCCAGGCCACAAAGAACTGTACATTTGGGGAAAACATATCTTCAAATATATATGTTAAAATCTAAAAAATTGGTTAGTATGTATTACTTTTGTGGATACTTAAACATTCCCTATGCATAAAGACCTAGTTAAAGAGATGCAGGCTTTTGGCATGTTAAATAACTCCTTGATGAGAAATCACACTATGAATAATAAATATGACTTAATAAAAATGAAAAATAATGAGATTAGTTACTATTGAACTATTCTTGCTTAGAATGCCCCTGAATTTCAGTCATTGAAATTCACTTGTACCTGGGTAAGTTACAAGTTCTTATTTGTGCTGGTTTCTGTTCCATTGGCAATTAAAATTTTGGTAAGTTGAATAAAAGATCTTTCTAAAAAGGGAGTTTTTTTTTTTTTTTTCTTTTTTGAGGGGGATGGAGTCTCGCTCTGTCGCCCAGGCTGGAGTGCAGTGGCACGATCTCGGCTCACCGCAAGCTCCACCTCCGGGGTCCATGCCATTCTCCTGCCTCAGCCTCCTGAGTAGCTGGGACTACGGGCGCCCGCCACCACGCCCGGCTAATTTTTTTTGTGTTTTTAGTAGAGACGGGGTTTCACCGTGTTAGCCAGGATGGTCTCCATCTCCTGACCTCGTGATCCGCCCTCCTCAGCCTCCCAACGTGCTGGGATTACAGGTGTGAGCCATCGCGCCCGGCCAAAAGGGAGTTCTTATATTGGCAGTGTATCATGATTAAAGTTATCCTCCCTCTTTCTCTCCCTCCCACATATATATTTTCGTGTCAGTATATGTATATGTGATTTGTGCTATTTGTGTGTGTGTAGGTAAATGAAAGTGGCATCAAGAGAATCTCACATTAAAAAAAATTTGAGATAGTACAATTCTTATGCATCATATGTTGCATAACGTTTGACTATTAAGAAATTTGCATCACACGTCTACTTATTTCATTAAACATGTTACAGTCAATTAATTCACTTACACCCTCCATTTCCTTCTTCCCCCTCTCTCGTTCTCCTGCTGCAGGGTCATTATACGTTCCTACTCACAAAATGTCCTTGTTTTTTCCCTTACTCCTGTCATTGATCTTCTGAATCTTTCCGGCGAACTTAACATGGATGTTTTGATAGAAAGCTCTGGCATTAACTCTGGAGTTGTTTTGCAAGGAAGGTTGTTCGCTTTTTCACCATTTTTTTTTTTTCAGGTCCTTGAAGTGTTTTCACATAGATATTTCACAAGAGCCATTTCAGAATTGAGAACATTTGGCGTGCACTCTTCCTCTTTTGGTCCCACAGTTTTTATGTGTCCTACTTGAAATTATGTTTGCTCCCGTTTCAATTGTAATATTGCACTTACTCATTAGTTTTTAGTTTGAACTCTCCTGCGAGGTCTAATGTAGAGTTTGGACAAGAACACAGATTCATAATAAACCTACCCAGTCAATTTGGTATAAAGGCTTAGAAGGTGGAACTGGCCACATTTTGAATTGGAGGTAAGGATCAGGAATGCTAATGGAGAGACATAGGATTTTCTTATGGAAACAAGAAACAAATAACCTCTGGGCAGTATTAGAGCCCAGAGAGTGATAAGCCTCTTCTAACTTCAATATTCTATGTACAAATTCACAAGACTTTTTTTTTCTTTCTTTTTTTTGAGACGGAGTCTCACTCTGTAGCCCAGGCTGGAGTGCAATGGCGCGATCTTGGCTCACCGCAAGCTCCCCCTCCCGGGTTCACGCCATTCTCCTGCCTCTGCCTCGCGAGTAGCTGGAACTACTGGCGCCCACCACCACATCCAGCTAATTTTTTTGTATTTTTAGTGCAGACTGGGTTTCACCGTGTTAGCCAGGATGGTCTGGATCTCCTGACCTTGGGATCCGCCTGCCTCGGCCTCCGAAAGTGCTGGGATTACAGGCGTGAGCCACCGTGCCCGGCCGAGACTTTTAATTATGCAATGCCAGACTGCATTGCATAAACCAAAGGCCAACAGAGAGGTGACCTTTCAAATTACTGGCACAAGAAGAGCCGAGATCAGAAAGCTCCAACTTAATGCAAACATCGACAAGAAATCCGACAGAAATGACTTCTGTGTCTGGTCAACTTAACATAACATGACATATTGTCAAGCACATTTGGCTTTTTAGGTAGAATTGTCTATAAAGGTTTAACTGCTTTAGAAAATATAAATGTGAAGATTTGTGGTATTTGGGTTTATATATAAGATATTTCTACATTGAAAAGAGACAGTGGAAAAGCTTGGTATAAGATTTGTAAAATATGTTTGTAATAATGCTAATGGAAGAGGTGAGATTTGGGTGGGGTGGGGTGTAGATGGGAACATGGTTTGGGGATTGGGGAAAGGGAAGTCATGCTGTTAATAAAATAGTGAGGCATGTTGTATAAAGTGTGTTTTATGTCTCAATTGAAATGTTATAGAGATAAATTTAAAATAGATCATGATGGGTTTTGAATCTGATTTCTAATTTTAAAATGTTATGAGCTTTTGTTGCTTTCCTATTTCATACACATTTCTTTATGGGTTTCACTTAGACTGCATGAAATTGCAGATGCCAATTACCTTTTAACAAAATTAAATTCACATATATGTATAATTTACATGTATATATTCATGGAATTTTTTATTCTACACGATATATTATTTTAAAATGGTTTTTCAATGACAAAAAGTATTTTTCTATACTTTCAGTTTTCTGGTTTGAATTTTTTCTGGCAACACTAATTTTCACCTACCTATACTCATTGATAGTATAAAATTGTACAAGTGCATATTTTACCATGTTTACATTTGAATGGATGACTGGAGGTACATCTATGATGACTAATACTTTCTAAACACATATTTACCTCTCATATATCTGTGTAAATGATTGTAAGAGGAAGGGGAAAATAGAGATGTATCATTAGGTATACTGTCTTAAAGCACATTCAGCTGCTCTCATGTTTGGAGAATTTTGAATGTGATGAATGTTTCTCTTTCACCGCTAACAGGTTGTATGTGTGAGCCACATTTTATTGCAAGTGTTTGAAAGGCCATTGCAAATATGGGATATTGCCAGACAGTAAAAAGCAAATTGAGTCTATTGAGAAATTAATTCACCAGCTGAAGGAAGTACATTTGCCTTAGAGTCATCAGATATTCTACCCACCAGACTCATCTCCGAGATAGCATCCTAATGAGCTTCCTAAACCAACTAAACATGAGCAGGAAGCATCAGTCGTCAAAACTGACTCTTTTCAGCCAATCAGCTGACTGCACAAACTGTATGGCATTGAGGAAAGGAAGAACATTCTGAAAGTTTTTTTCTTTTTTCATTCTGTCCTCATTCTGTTGGTTTCTCAGTTTTACGGATGCAGGATCATGCACAGAACCCTGTAAATGAGCATAGTTCGTTTAAGTATATAAAGTGCTTTCGGTGGATAAAATGAATTTTAACAGGCTTAAGTGATGTGCCTAAATGCACACAATTAATGCATGGCTGGAATTCAAAATCATGTCTTTTCCTCTGTTCTGATTGTTTTATAAATATGGGTTGTTTTAATGTGTGGCTGGAATTCAAAATTGTGTCTTTTCCTCTGTTCTGATTGTTTTATAAATACAGGTGTAGTGATTGATTTTCTACCCACCATGACAGGGAATAGGTTCAAAACTTAAAACCCTGTTTGTTTTATAATTAGGTAGACTCAAATGACAGGTCAAGGCAGGGAGGGGAGCCAGTCATTTTTACTCCCATATGGGTTTGCTCCTTCAAAGACAGGATTGGGGTAGCAGTGTCAGTTCCTACAGGTTATAACGATCTTAATGATAAACTTAAATAACCGTAACTGAATACTTATAATGTGCTAGCACTTTTCATAATGTATCCCAATAATACTCACAAAACCTTCCAAATATTACCTTTTTGTTGTCTTTGTTTTATTTTGTTTTGTTTTGAGACAGGGTCTCACTCTGCTGCCCAGGCTTTAGTGCAGTGATGCAATCATGGTTCACTGCAGCGTCAAACTCCTGGGCTTAAGCAATCCTCCCACCTCAGCCTCCCAAGAAGCTGAGACTACAGGCATGCACCACCACTCCCAGCTCCAAATAAATATTCTTATCCCATTTTACTGATGCAGAAAAATGTATGGCCCAGAGAAGTAATGTTAAGTTTATTGGGGGATTTAAGTTGTAAAAAATTATTTTATCGAACCCTAATGTAAACTGTGGACTCTGGGTGATAGTGATGTGTCAGTGTAGGTTCATCGATTATAGCAAATGCATCATTCTGGTGCAGGATGTTGACAGTGGGGGAAGCTGTGTGTGTATGGGAGTAGGGAGTCTATGGGAACTCTTCTACTTTCCACTCAATTTTGCTGTGAGCCTAAAACTACTCTAAAAAATGAAGTTTATTAATCAAGAAAAAAATTCTTATGTTTTATGAATATATGGGACAGCTATTCATGTATGTGGTAAAAATGAAGAGATTTGTTACAGTACTCGGCAGGAGTGTGTCTAATCGACTGATATTCATGTGTCACTTATAAAAACTGGCTTCATTATCAATCTATAGATTCATTTCATTTGTGTATGTTCGCTTAAGGGCACACACATGGAAACCCTTTGGTGTTATTAGAGGTCTGTTGGGAGGGCTCCTCTTTGGTGGAAGCTATGTCTGTTTCTCAGAAGTGATTTAAGAGTAAGATGTGAAATAGCACTTGTCCCCGAGGATGGAGCCAACAGAGCACAGAGCATAGGGGAGTTATGTGATGCTGTCTCTGAGGGACTGGAGAGAGGAATATAAAGAGCTTATCCCTTAAGAAAGAATAGGGGAGGACTTCCTTGCCTGATATCTCAGATCATGAAGCTACAGTTCTCTCCCTGCTTTAGAGAAAAAAAAAAACAGACTTTTTGCAAAAATCAATTATTGAACATATTCCTATATTCTAGATTTATAATGAAGCATTTTTGTACATATTCATTAAAAAGAGCAATTAGAACATTTTTCTCTGGTTTATAGTAACTAGGATGGCAACACATATATATCTTGGAAGTATTTTGTGGTATGATTCTTCAACATAAAATTATTTTTCAAAACTTCTTAGAAGTCTCCAGGTACTCAGGAATAAGGTCATTTTAAATTATTCCTTATTGACTATAAGAAAAATAATTAGGCAAGATCACAAAATAAATGTTTAGACTGTTTCTCCTGTTTCCTGATTTTCAGGTTATTTTTTATCCCAATTTTATTTTGCTGTATAGTCATAAATTTCATCTTTGAAATAAAGCATATAATCACTTTTTTTGTTTGTTTGTTTTTTTGAGATGGAGTCTCGCTCTGTAGCCCAGGCTGGAGTGCAGTGGCGCAATCTCGGCTCACTGCAAGCTCTGCCTCCCGCGTTCACGCCATTCTCCTGCCTCAGCCTCCTGAGTAGCTGGGACTACAGGTGCCTGCCACCACGATCGGCTAATTTTTTTGTATTTTTTGTAGAAACGAGGTTTCACCGTGTTAGCCAGGATGGTCTGGATCTCCTGACCTTGTGATCTGCCCACCTCGGCCTCCCAAAGTGCTGGGATTACAGGCGTGAGCCACAGCGCCTGGCCATGCTTTCTATTTTATATGCTGTTTTTGTTTCTTTTTCATCCCTGATCTTCAGTTAGCTGCTGGCATTTTACTTGTTCCCAACTAATTTTTCTTCTAATGACTTGAAAAGTATATGTTTAGTTCCTATATCTTTATATTTTTATACACATAGCTACACATATGATTGACATCCAGAGCTAATCGTATAGATAAAATGAGACTCCTAGCATGCTTTTACTTCTCTCTCCTTCCTCCTTTCCAGACTTCATAACTTTCCATCCCGAGTTATTTCAGATTTTAGTTTTTTATTATAGGTTTATTTTTATAATTTAGACTTAAAAGTAAACTTCACTGATTATCTTGCTCACCTGTGCTTCTTATATCCCTTTTTTTCTTCCCAGATTTATTTTCTTTTTGAATATATTTTCTACACCATGGTTTCTCAACCAGAGGTGATACAGCACTGTCTCCAAATGTGGGGCTGTTGTGTATTGTCACGGGGAGGAGAAATGCTACTGGCATTTAGTGGATGATGGTCAAGGACACTAAGCAACCTGCAATGTGTGGATCAATCTTACACAACGAAGGACTGTTCCACCCCAAATGCCAATGGTACCCTGTTGAGAAAGGTTAGTCTATGTGGACAGTGAATTATAAACTTTTTGAATCTGTTTTTGTGTCTTAAAATGTCTTTATGATGCCCTCACATTCACTTGCACTTTGGCTGGTTAAACAATATTAAAAGAAAACTTCAAATTAAATGGAATTTAATTGAGCAAGAAAAAAAAAACAATTCACAAGTTGGGCAGCCTCCAGAACCACAGCAGATTCAGAGAGACTTCAGGGATGCCTCATGGTCAGAACAAATGTATAGACAAGAAAAGGAAAGTGACACACAGAAATTGAAAGTGAGGTAAAGAAACAGCTGGATTGGTTACAGGTTGGCATTTGCCTTATTTGAACACAGTTTGAACCCTCAGCAGTGTATGAGTGATTGAAGTATAGTTGCTGGGATTGGCCAAGACTCAGCTGCTGTTACAGATGCATACTCCTAAGCTAGGTTTTCAATCTTGTCTATTAAGTTAGGTTATGGTTAGTCCACAAGGACTCAAATACAGAAGTACAGAGTCCTCAGGCCATATTTAGTTCGCTTTAACAAGAATCATAAGTTCACAAGTATTTTCACCAGAAAACTGTAAAGACATTATTCTGTTTTCTTACTTACCATGTTGCCAATGTGAAGTCTGGTATCGATCTTATTCCATCCCACACAATTGTTTTCACGCTGAAAACATTCAGTTTCCTCCTTATCCTTAGTATCCTGAAATTTTATCATGATTTACTTACATGTCAGTCTTTTTACATTCTTCCTGTAAATATTCACTGGTTCCTCTCAATATGAGTATTTCCAATTTCTAAGAAATTGTCTTAAATTTTTGCCTTGTTTTAGGCACTCTCCTTCCTTAATTTTCTTCTCTCCTGTAATTCATATTAAGCAGATAGTGGAACTTTTACAGCTGTCATTCATGTCTCATAACATTTTGTTCATTCTTTCCATCTATTGTTTTGCACTGCATTCTGGGAGAATTACTTAGCATGATATTCTGGTTCACTGATTTACTCTTCAATCCATTTTGCTATTCAACCCATCTATTGAGATTTTTATTTCAAGAATAAAATTTTTTAATTTCTAAAACCTTGATGCATTTTTAATTTTTTTTAAAAATGAAAGCAGTAAGCTCTGCCATTTGTCCAAGGTATATAATGATACTTATTCCATAGTCTGTTTCTTTTTTTTTTTTTTTTGCTCTGTCGCCCAGGCTGGAGTGCAGTGGTGCGATCTCGGCTCACTGCAAGCTCCACCTCCCGGGTTCACGCCATTCTCCTGCCTCAGCCTCCCAAGTAGCTGAGACTACAGGCGCCTGCCACCACACCTGGCTAATTTTGTTGTAGTTTTAGTAGAGACGGGTATTCACCATGTTAGCCAGGATGGTCTCAATCTCTTTACCTTGTGATCCACCCGCCTCGGCCTCCCAAAGTGCTGGGATTACAGGCGTGAGCCACCGTGCGCGGCCGCAAACTCGTTTCTTAACTGTATGTGGATTCTCCTTCATCATACAACATCTAGATCTGTGGAACTGAACCAAACCTAGAAAATGGGCAATAGGCTACCACTGTCAGATACGTATTTGCCAGATTCAGAGATTCTGTTTTTACTTCTAAAAATTTAAATAGACAAGACTTTGAGAGTTGACAGAATCACCTTGACTTGTCATTCTCTGCCCCTCCCTACTAAGTACAATTATAAACACTGAGAATAGTAAAAGGAACAGCTACAGGAGAATTCTGAAAGGTGGTAAGAGGAAGGTGAATTGGTCGGGGCCTCGATTCTGGAGGCACAAAATACAACCCCCATCCAACAAGAGAGGTGATCCAGGCTTGACAATTCCCACCTCCCAATGTAGTAACAGAAGGTAGCTCAAGTAGGCTCATTCTTCTGCAACAAATGAGAGTTCTGCCAGAAATAGCAGGCAAGCAGAGGAGAACCAACAATGGAGACGGGTTGATTAGAAGCCCTGTTAACGGTAAGCTGCCAGAAAACTCTACTTTTTCACCAAGTGTGAGACACCATTTTCTCTACGTCTCTACTCCTCTCCTTCCACCCCTGTTCCCAAGCCCTTGGTTGAGGGCACTAGCAACTGGAATTGCCAAAATCCAACTTTCCAATTCTTTCCCACAAAGGACACAACTCATTTCCTTCACCAGAGACACTGCACAACCAAGGGCACAGGGAAGGGAATTCACACTGCAATGTGCACTTGGCCAGGGAAGCACTCTGCCCCTGTAGGACGGAGTCTCCATTCATTCACTTAGAGATACAGACAACTGATCCTGGGGAAGCTCCATCAGAAACCAGTAGGAGCCCCAGTGGAATGATATTTTTTTAAAAAGCAAACTAAAATAGCTCTGCAAAGACTGAAAATTAAATTGTTGTAGGAGTCAAATCCTTCAAATTAGGTCCAGACCGGCATGCTGAATCCAAAAAGGTGAATGCTTACTAAAATTAAACAAAATGTAAATAGAACCCAGATTTCCTAACATAATATAAAAAATGCGCAAGGCACAGGGAAATGGGAATTGAAATGACAAAAGGCAATCAGTTGATGTTAACAGTGAAATAAACCACATGTTGGAATTATCTGACAACAATTTCAAAGCAACCAGCATAAAAATGGTTCAAGTAATAAAAAAATTATCTTAAATGAAAAAATGGAATATTCTAGCAAAGAAATAGGAGTTATAAAAAAGAAACAAGACATTCATGAAACAGATAAATGCAGTAACAGAAATTAAAAGCTTTCTAGGTGGGCTCAATAGTAGAGGGTGGAGGGCAGGAGATATGATCAGTGAACTTGAAAATGTGTAGAATTTCCCTAATCTGAACAATAGAGGAAATAGACTGAAAATAATGAACAGAACTTCACAGACCAATAACAAAAGATCCAACATTAATATTATCGGAGTTGGGGAAGAAGAGGAGAAAGTCAGTGGGGCTGAAAGAGTATTTGAAGACATAATGGGTAAACATTTCCCAAATTTGTTAAACGAAATACACTCAGATTCAAGAAGTTTAATATATCCCAAATAGTATGAACCCAAAGAAATATATACCAGGACACATCATACTAAACTTCTGAAAAGACAGAAAATATTGAAAGCAGGCACAGAAACATGACTTGTTATCCTTAGGGGCACATGAATTGGAATGACAGTGAATTTCTTATCTAAAGCCATGGGGGCAAGTAGGAAGTGGCACAATATTTTTCAAGTGCCAAAAGAAAAGAACTGTAACTGTTGATCTACACAAATGTTGATGAATTTAAAAGATGTTATGCTAGATTAAAGGATGTAATGTTTAAAGTTAAACATTAAGTTGACTTGGTAGATAGCTGGTAAAACATTTCTAAGTGTGTGAGGGTGTTTTTGGAAAATAGTATTTGTTTATATTTTTTGTTTTTGGAAGTGTGCAATTACTTTAGTTTTTTTCAGCTTTATTGAGGTATAGACAAAAGATTAGTATTTGATTCAATAGACAAACAAGATCTGCCCTCACAAATGTGGGCAGGCATCACCTAGTTCATTGAAGGCCTAGATAGAACAAAAAGGGCAGAGGAAGTGCAAATTATCTTTCTCCTTGAGCTGGGACATACTTTTCCTGCCCTTAGACATCATATCTCCTGGTACTCAGGTCTTTGGACTCAGACTGGTAGTTTCACCATTCACTCTGTTGGTTCTCAGGCCTTTGGACTCAGACTGAATTGTGCCACCAGTTTTCATAGGTCTGCAGGTTATAGGTGGCATATTGTGGGATTTCTTGGCCTTCATAATTATGTAAGCCAATTCTGATTATAGATCTCCTCTTATCTCTGCACCTATCCACAGAGATAGAGAATCTATTATCTATCTACAGGGATAAGAGTGATATGCACAGGCGACAGGGAAATACTGGGTAGAAGAGGCGGTTCCCTGTCAAAGGCCCCACCCTGAAGCCAGGAAACCTGCAGCCCTAAATGGGAACAGTCATTCCTGTTTTTGCACCCAGCTGTTGCCTTTTGGCCCACCATGCCCCCCTCTCCTGAACCCTTATAAACCCCAAGTCCCAGGCTTCACAAGCAGAAGAGCAGAGGGTTGGAAGAGCAGGGTGGCAGAGAAGGAGAGAAGAGAAGGAACGTCTGAACATCGAGAGGTGGTTGGCTGGGGATGGTTGGAGAACAGATTGGCCACGGGATGGCCAAACTCCAGAGGAAGATCATCTTCCTACTGCAACTCCTCTCCAGCTCCCCATCCACCCTGCTGAGAGCCACTTCCGTCTGGCAATAAAATCCCCCACATTTGTCATCCTTCAATTTTTCCATGTCACCTGATTCTTCCTGGATGCCAGGCAAGGACCTTGGTACCAAGAGGGCACTGAGCTGGTTAACACTTAAGTGGTCTGCAGATGGCAGAGCTAAAGAGTACTGTAATATGCCCACTGGAGCTTTGGGAGTTGCAGGCACCCACCCATATATGGTAACGTGGGGCCAGAGTCCAAAAGTGCTTGCCCCAGCTCCTACACCTCCCTGTCTGCGTGCTTCCCCTCCCATGAGGGGTTTGAGCAGGAGGCAGCAGAACAGATGAGCCACACCCACCAATCATCCTGTGTAGGGGATCAGGGAACTCTCCTGTTTCAAGAGGAGATATGAGATACAGATAGGTAGCTAGCTAGCTGTGTACCTATCTACCTATCTACCTATCTATATCAGATTGGTTCTATTTTTCTGGAGAAACCTGAATAATACAGATTTTTGCCCCAAGAGTGGATCTAGAGGAACAGAATTTTAAGGATAAATTCTGTGAATTGGTTTTGAGGTTTCTGGAATTGTTTCTCTAATATGATTAAACTTGAAAATACTAATGACTTTACTTTCAGTGGTAAGATATTACTGATAGTCCATGACGTGAATTTTTTATTGAGATACCCAAAATATCTGCATTGGATAGTCCTAGTCAACTAAAGTAATGCGATATATAATACTTTCAAAAGATTTTGGAAAACTAAGGAAAATAATGACAATAATTCCCAGCTCAAGCACCACACAAATGACCTAAGACCTTCTAGGTGCACCCTGAGGGAGAGTGTTAGGTCTTGTAGCTTCAGGGCTGAAATTGCTGAAAATCAAATGCAAGACTTTATCCTGTGATTGGCTGAATTACAAGGCAAATATAACTCCCAGCCTCACAGGGTGCCCACTGATAAAGTGAGGGCATTGACTGGGAAAAAAATGGGATCCTGTAAATTGGGATGGAAAGCCTTGGTAAAGCTGGGAACATTGAGCCCCTCTGATGAGCCTTTGTTGCCCATGTCAACTTAAGGAAAGAAAATGAGGCAAAATTAATATAAGTAGAGAGTTTATATGGGCCAAGATTAAGGACTGCAGCCTAGGAGTAATAGATTCAAGTTGCCCTACATATATACCCAGATTAGCAGCAGTTACAAGTGGGTGTTTAAGAGAAAAAATAAGCTGGGGGCAGTTTCTAAGTTGCTTATCAATAATCTACATAGGTTCATTAAAATAACACAACACAAACTATTTGTTGGCTATGCATTGTTTTTGTATCACAGATTCCAGGAACATGAAGATATTGGGTGAGGGCCACATTGTGCAACTTATGGTAATGTTTTAGGAAATTTATCCGCTAGTCTGGAAACTGCAGGAAAGGAAAGAAAGCCAAAGTGCCTTTAAACAATTATGCCCAGGCACGGGTGCCAGGACATGAGTGAAGCCTCGTGCTCATCTCTCAGGGCCCGATAAATTTTGCAGACCTCACATTTCTAAGACGACTCGGAGCCACTTTTCTTTCTCACCAGTGGAACAGGTCTCCCTACCACCAGCAGAAGTAGCCACCCCACCCCTGGCAAAAGTGAATTCCCCAACCCCAGAGGAAGTGCCTCCCCATCCCCAGTGGCATCAACCTTTCCACCTCTGTCTGAGGGGATAACCCTGCACTGCCTGAGGAAATGGGAATGGCCTCCCGTAAGGCAGCTGTGGAGCAAGACAATGCTGATTCTCCTTAGGAGCCACCCCACCACCCCTCTTTGCTTTTAGGCCAAGTTCATCCAACCTGTGGCCTGCAGGCCACATGTGGCCCAAGACAGCTTTGAATGCAGTCCCATACAAATTCGTTAACTTTCTTAAAACTATGAAATTTTTTGGCCAGGCGCGGTGGCTCACGCCTGTAATCCCAGCACTTTGGGAGGCCAAGGCAGGCAGATCACGAGGTCAGGAGATCGAGACCATCCTGGCTAACATGGTAAAACCCCATCTCTACTAAAAACACAAAAAATTAGCCGAGTGTGGTCTCCGGAGCCTGTAGTCCCAGCTACTTGGGAGGCTGAGGCAGGAGAATGGCGTGAGCCCAGGGGGAAGAGCTTGCAGTGAGCCGAGATTGCGCCACTGCACTCCAGCCTGGGCGACAGCGAGACTCTGTCTCAAAAAAAAAAAAATTATGAAATTTTTTTGCTATTTTCTTTTTTTAGCCCATCAGCTATCATTAGTGTTACTGTAGTTTATGTGTGGCCCAAGACAATTCTTCTTCTAATGTGGCCCAGGGAAGCCAAAAGATTGGACACCCATATTCTAGACCTATAAGTAGACTCCAGTCCCGCAATCCCCTAAGGTGAGTTACAGAGTATGATCTCTGAGGAGGCTGACTACATCCAGGAACAGGTAGGAAACTGGGGAACATGTGTGGGAATGGATATTAGGGGTGTGAAAGGAAAATAAATATTGGGATGCCAAACTCATTAAGCCGAAGGGAAAAGTTAAGCTGGGAACTGGGTCATGCAAACCTGCCTCCCCTTTTGCTTCCTAACTAAGATGGCTACAAGATGAAAATCTTCATGCCTCCCCCACATTTTGTCCATGAGGAAATTCCTAGTGAGCTCCAAGATCTTTACCCTAAGGTGTGTCTGTTAAAATTTCACCATGATAATGTCAATTGTCTTTACAGTGCAGTCACCCCCCTGCCCTCCAGACACAAATGCATATCTGATCGGTCCCCTGCCCCATTTTGTCTGTTATCTTATGTAAAAATGCAGATTCCAGCATTTTTCCTCTGCCCCATTTGTCTATGTCATCTTATGTAAAACAATGCAAATTCACTGAGCCAGACAAATAAATGAATATTTTTCCCTACCCCACTCTCACATGAAAATTGTGTACCTCTCAATATCCTGCCCTTTCCTCTTTAAATTTGGAGCCCTCAAAATCATCTTTGAAGAAAGGCATAGACCTGTCTCCTGGGCATGCATCCTTAACTTTGGCAAATAAACCTCCTAAAATGATTGAGATTTGTCTCATCATTTTTCTCGATTGACAGGGGTATGAGACAATGGTGGAAGGAACATAAAGTTCCCCGTTTGTTGATACGGTCCCACAGAGCAGAGATTCTGCATTTAATGTTGTAGTTCAGGGAGTTACAAAAGGCTCTACCAGTTTGGTTTGTTGGCTGCAATCTGGATCAAAAGATGTCCCACTGTGAGTGAATTGGAAATGCCAGATATCCCTTGATTTAATGTAGAGGAAGGGATTCAAAGACTAAGGAAAATTAGAATGATGGAGTTAACTTATCATTTAGGAATTACTCATTCACACAGGGAAAGCCCAGAATACATACCTTTCGCCAATACTTAATGAAATGAATTTGTGACAAGAGACCTAGCTATTTTATGCTATGTTATGTTATGTTATGTTATGTTATGTTATGTTATGTTATGTTATGTTATGATGTAGCAGGATGAGCCGCAGACAAAACCTCTCAGACACCGAGTTGTAGAAGGAAGGGCTTTATTCAACTGGGAGCATCAGCAAGCTACTGCCTTAAAATCCGAGCTTCTTCGAGTGCACAATTTCCATCCCTTTTAAGGGCTCACAACACTAAAGATTTCATGTGAAAGGGTCGTGATTGATTGAGCAATCGAGGGGATACATGACAGGGGTTTCATGCACTGGTGGTCAGAGTGAAACAGAACAGAGCAGGGAGTTTCATAATATTCTTTTATACAATGCCTGAAATCTATGGGTAACATCGCGTTCTAAGTCATGAGTTGATTTTTAACTACTAGGTTTAGGCCGGGCAGGCCCAGGCCTGGTTTTGGGCCTGGTGCCAGGCTGCCTGTCTTTGATTTCACTTCCTTGTTTTTTTTCTTTTTTCTTTAAACAGGTACTGAGTATGAAACAATATAAAACAATATGAGAGGGTCTTTGTCTTCCCTCAATGAGATGGAGTCTCACTCTGTTGCCCAGGCTGGAGTGCAATGGCACAATCTCAGCTCACTGCAACCTCCACCTCTTGGGTTCAAGCGATTCTCTCACCTCAGCCTCCGGAGTAGCTGGGATTACAGATGCGTGCCAACATGCCCAGCTAATTTTTGTATTTTCTGTAGAAATGGGGTTTCACCCTGTTGGCCAGGCTGGTCTCAAACTCCTGACCTCAAGTGATCCACCCGCCTCGGCCTCCCAAAGTGCTGGGATTACAGGTGTGAGCTACCGCCCCCGGCCAAGCCTCTTTAATAATATATAATCCTTCTTTTCTTGGGAAGCCTCCGTACTACATAATGAAGTAGAAAGAAGTTGGGAGAATAGTAAGGAGGCATTTGTAAGAGTCCATGTGAGAAATCACAATAATTTGAATTACATAGAATAAGAAGAACTTTGGAAAGATGCTCTGAAAACAAGCAATAAGAAGATATTTCTGTAGAGAGGACCTGTGTGGCTTGAAGTCAATTGTGAGAGACAAGATGTTCACTGTACATAAGACGAACAGAGCGGTAAAGAGAGAGACTGGGCCCCTTCCAGCCTATGACTTAAGAGAGCTTCCATAAAGGTCTGCATGGTCTATGCTCATGACTTAAAACTAAGGGCCAGGAAAAGAGAGGAGAGGTAAAGACTCAAACTGAAGCAAAGGGCTCCTTGTTACAGTTTTGTGGGTGCAGTGACTCCCGAGGCAAAGTCCATATATAAGGATACAATGTGTTTGGGGGCATAGCCATTGGACCCTTTAAGTCATATTCTAGGCTACATAGCTTTTATGTCCAAAATGATCTGAGCTCCAGGACAGCTCTCTTATAGGAAACAATGCCAGATGAGGTCACTAGTGAAGGACTTGCTTTACCACAGGGAAATGGTACCATTTCTCTCAGGTCAATTAGGAGCTTTCAAAGAGAAATATAGATAGAGCTCCAATGTTTCAGGGCAGACAAAGTACAGTCAGGTGACATCTGCCATGCTGTGATGTAATACTGGCACTGTTGGTAAGATTATAATATTGACATCGAGAGCCAAATGTATTGTGAAATTCAGTTAAAAGTTTTCTGGCTCCCCCAGATATTAGTCATATAACAAGAATCGCAGTCAAAGAACAAGGGGTGGCTTGTTGCATAGTAATTAATTTGGCTGATCTTTTTCTCTGGGTCCTGAGAGGAGCCCTCTAAACCCTTGAAGTTTCCTATGATACAATTATATTTTGTTACTGATGGCGGGCCTGACAATATCTGAGCTTATGCTGTGGAGATGACACAGGATGGGGCCCATCACACCAGAAAGAACAACTGTGTGATTCAAGGGTTGGGCTTCGAAGCATGTGCTATCAGCCCAGCCTTCTGGGAGGAGAGAGAGGCTAGAGGCTGAGCTCAATAATGTGGCCAAAGATTCAATCCGTCATGTGTCCATAATGAAACCCTGATAAAAACTTTGGCCACGGAAGCTCAGGTGTGCTTTCCTGGGTAGTGATACACATCGATGCGCCAGGAGGGTGACTTGTCCTGAGGAAGCGGAAGTCGTGTGTCTCAGGTCCTCCTAAACCTTACCCTGACGGTTTCTTTCTTTGGCTGGTCCTGATTTACATCCTTTATTATATAACTGTAATTATAACTACAGCTTTTTCCTGAGTAATGTGTTATTCTAGCAAAGTTGTGTATCCAATTTGAGTGGGTAGTGGGAATCTCCAGCTTTGTAGCCAGTTGGTCAGAAGTGTGTGTGTCCTGGAAGCCCCCTCCCCTGCTTGTAGCTGATGTCTGAAATGAGGGAGGCCCTTTTAAGGCCCTGTGCCCTTGACCTGTGAGGTTTGACCTAATTCTGTGTAGATAGCATGACAATTGCACTGCACAGGACAGATAACCACCCCAAAATCTAAAAAGAGAGGTACAAACAGACACTGCAACTGATAAAGCCTAGAGATGTGCTTCAGACAGCAGGAGCCTCTAGAGCTATTGGTCCAAACAATGAAATGACAATTTTAACAAACTGCTGGAGGAAGAGTTTCTTAGGAGGCTCCCTCCAGTAACCTTGCCATATTTTTATGGTAAGAATCCCCAAAAGATCCCTTCATGCCTTTGCAGAAGAAGGAAAGAGTGACCATTGTGAAATGTAACCAGAGCCTTCTCCAGGGGAAGGACTTTACCAGAGCTCCATTCTGATACTGTATCCAAGCTTGGGGAAAGGAATCCCCCCTCACTTCAGCTCTCTTTAGCCTTCTTTCATCACGTAGTGGCAGAAATAATCATCAACGGATAGAGTGCTTCATGGAGATATACTGGGAGCTCGGCAGCCAGGGAAAGGAGCTAGAAGGTGAACATGCTACTGGAGGAAAGGCAGACACAGCTGGGATAGCCACAGCCATGAGCTACTGGCTTAGGAAATGACCCACACTTCATTAGAAGGTTGGAGAATGCTTACTGTCTTCTATATCCTATCATCACTGTTATAAAGCTTGAGTTTAAAAGCAGTGACTACAGCTGTTTTCAGTGGAATGAACTGAAAGACACAGACTCACTATGAGGAGCAGTGCAGAGACAAGCTGTGAAGCCAGGCGAAGAGCCAAAACAAAGACACTAAAGGAATTTGGAACTTCTGATACTTATGGCTGCAACAAACATTAAACATAGCTTAACTCTTAACCAAATTAACATACATTCTCACATAAAGGCCTATGTACCTCAGTTGTTATTACCTAATGCAATATCTGTCTTTTAACAAAAAAATTACACAAGACACGTCAAAGGCAGGAAAAAACAGTCTGAAGAGAAAGCAATCATCAGAATCAAACTCAGATACGACACAGATGTTGGAGTACCAGAGACGGAATGTAAAAATAACTGTGATAAATATGTTAAGGGCTCTCATGAAAAAAGTAGACAATGTGCAAGAACAAATGGATAATATCAGCACTAAGATGGTAGCTTCTAAAAGCCCATGAGCCAAAGAAGAAATCTCAAAAAGTGTTTCGGAATAAATGAAAAGGAAAATATAACTCATCAAAACTTATGGGTTGTAGCTAAAGCAGTGCTTAGAAAATAATTTATAGCACTCAGTTTCTGTATGCATATATTACAAAGTAAGAATTAATAATATAAATAAATTACGCTTGCACCTTAGGAGCTTGAGAAAGAACAGCAATTTAAACCTGAAGAGAACACAGAAAAGAAATCCATGCAAATTAGAATATACATCAATAAAATTTTAAACAGGAAAACAATAGAAAAATTCAACAAAACCAAAAGCTAGGCTTTCACAAACGTAAATAAAATTGATAAACCTCTTCCCAGGCATGAGCGTACAAGATGAGAGAAAGAGAGAATACAAATTACCAATATCAGCAATGAAAGAAGAATCATTACTACTGATTATTGATACCGTGCACTTTTAAAAGATTCTAAGATTCTACAAGCAACTTTATCCTTGTAAATTTGATACCTTAAATAAAGTGGACCAATTCCTTAAAAGACACAAACTAATAAATTCATGCAAGGAAAAACAGACTAGCCCTATACATATTTTCTTTTTTTTTTTTTTTCTGAGATGGAGTCTTGCTCTTTCGCCCAGGCCAGAGTGCAGTGGCGCTACCTCGGCTCACTGCAAGCGTCACCTCCTGGGGTTCACGCCATTCTCCTGCCTCAGCCTCCCAAGTAGCTGGGACTACAGGCGCCTGCCACCGCGCCCGGCTAATTTTTTATATTTTTAGTAGAGACGGGGTTTCACCGTGTTAACCAGGATTGTCTTGATCTCCTGACCTTGTGATCCACCCACCTCGGCCTCCCAAAGTGCTGGGATTACAGGCATGAGCCACCGCGCCCGGCCGCCCTATACATATTTTCTAAAAATTAAATTAATAATAAAAACCTTCCAAAAAAGCAACAGGCTCAAGCTCAGATGATTACACTGGTGAATTATACCAGTGAAAAAATTACTCTCCATATTTTTTTTCCAGAAAAGAGAAGCAGAGGAAAAACCTCCCAACTCATTTTATGATATCATCATTACTCTAATCCCAAAACCAGATAAAGACATTACAACATTGAAAAGAAACTATAGATCAGTATCTCTTATGAACCTAGACACAAAAGCTTCCACCAAACATTAGCAAGTCAAATCCAGTAATGTAGAAAAAGGATAATACATCACAACAAAATGGAGTCCGTTTCTGAATATAAGGATTCAATATTTTAAAATACATCATTGTACTTTATCATATTAATATTAATAGACTAAGAAAAACAACACAATTGTATCAGTAGAAGCAGAAGAAGCATTAAACAGAATTCAAGACCTGTTCATGATAGAAACTCCACAAAGTAATGTGAACTATGGATTTTGAGTGATAATAATGTGTCAGTGTATGTTTATAGTTTATAACAAATGTACCACTCTGGTGTGGGGGGTTGACAGTGGACGGGACTGTGTGTGAGTAGGGTGTATAGGGGGACTTTGTGTGGGTAGGGTGTATATGGGGACTGTGTGTGGGTAGGGTGTATATGGGAACTGCGTGTACTTTCTGCTCAATTTTGCTGTGAACCTAAAACTGCTTTAAAAAAAAAAATAAAGCCAGCCAGCTGCGATGGCTTATGCCTGTAATCTCAGCACTTTGGGAGGCCGAGGTGAGCAGATCGTGAGGTTGGGAGATCGAGACCATCCTGGTTAACATGGTGAAACCCCATCTCTACTAAAAATACAAAAAATTAGCCAGGCGTGGTGGCACTCACCTGTAGTCCCAGCTACTTGGGAGGCTGAGGCAGGAAAATCATTTGAACCGGGGAGGCAGAGGTTGCAGTGAGCTCAGATCACGCCACTGCACTCCAGCCTGGGTGACAGAGCGAGACTCTATCTCAAAATAAATAAATAAACAAATAAATAAATAAAGCCTATTTTATAAAAAAGAAAAATTCAGCCGGGCACGGTGGCTCACGCCTGTAATCCCAGCACTTTTTTGGGAGGCCGAGGTGGGTGGATCATGAGGTCAGGAGATCCAGACCATCCTGACTAACATGAGTGAAAGAATGGAGTGGTATATAATGTAGCAGAGTTGATAATTTAAGGCTAATTCACTATATATCTCCAAGCAAATAGATTTGTAATGCTTTTCCTGCCTAAAATCTGTACAGCTGATTCACAAATACTTGGTTGACAGGTTTTATATATCAGTGTGGCTCATCAGCTTGTATGTTGTTGGGGCCAGAATCTATACTTACACTTCATTCAAATTTGATTTTACAGAAGAGTTGTGGTTTTTATTTTTCTTTTAATTAAGAGGGCTGTGAAATTATCAACTATAACTCTAAATCTCATTTAATTCCTCCCATTAGGATTCAAGATGGATTGGCATCAAAGTTCACTTCTTTAACAAAAGTGCTTTATGACCTTAATAAAATATTAGAGAATGGTAGGATCCATGGAAGCCCTTTACAAAAACTTGTGATAGAAAGTTTTGATGATAAGCAGACTTTGCAACAACTGGAATTGCAAAATGACCCAATTTTACAAAGCTTCCAGAATGCAGTTAGTGAAACAAAGATGAAGATATCAGTATCCCAGAGAGTGAAGAACAGGAGCATGAAGAGGATGGTTCAGAGACAGAGGCTGATGGCCAGGAGGACCTAGAAGATTTAGAGGAGGAGGAGGAAGTGTCAGATATGGGTGGTGACAATCCTGAAGTGAGTGAGAGAGCAAACTCAAGCAAATTCGATCCGATGAAAAGCCCAGTTCTCAGTGATGAGGATTCTGACCTTGACTTTCATATCAACAAATTGGAACAGCAGAGCAAGGTGCAAAAAAAGGACACGGGAAACCAAGAGAAAAGTCCATAGCAGACGAGAAATTCTTCCAACTCTCTGAAATGGAGGCCTATTTAGAAAACAGAAAAAGAAGAGGAACGAAAAGATGGTAATGATGATGACGTAGAAGATACTGATTTTTTTAAGATATTGATTCTGATGAAGATGAAGGGGCACTGTTTAGAAGTAAAAAAACTTAAGGTAAAATTTTGAGAGAGGAGAGAGCACTTTCCTCCTCCTCAAATTACCTTTTGTTCTGTTTTTCTAGGACAGATGTAATTGTAGTTAGAAGATTTGGATCTAAGAAATATTGTGCTCTATCTTATCAGTTATAAATGAATCTGTACTTCCATTCAGTTTCTGTTCCAGTTGTTCTTATAATAGTTTTATGGTAATGTTTTTAGTTGCTGATTTCACCTAATAACTATTTTTGGCTTGTAGTGTTATTAAGTTAGAAAGTAACGTAGACATACAGTATACACACAAATATATATGTGTGTGCTAACGATGTATTTTTCTCTTCCTAATTAATAGTTTTAAAAATCTTTTTATTTTAGTCAGGTAAAAGTTCCAGAAATGTGAAGGACAAAGACTTTTTTTGATCCAGTTGAAAGTGATGAAGACATAGCAAGTGATGATGATGATGATCTGGGTTCAAACAAGCTGATGAAATTGCTGAAGAAGCAGCAGAAGAACTAAGCATTTCTGAAATGTAAGTATTTGAACCATCCTTTATATTGTGAGCTGGAACTGTCCAATCATGTATTGGTACTTGTGGTTTTCACATATGTTTGTTTTAAGAAGTTAGATTCTCTCCTATCAGATATTCTCAAGATAGCCACAGGAAAGTCTGTGTATTTGAAGGGACATTAGAGATCATTTAATGAAGAAAAATATTACTGGCAATGGCAATCAAACCTTTCTGACCAGGAACTTTGATTTGGTTTTGTGCCCCAAAAATCCTGTTATTTCTGTGAGATTGAACAATTTATTTTCTATATATTGGACACTTTTTGTTCTGTTTCTTACATAGCATTTCACTTAAATGATACCTTCTGTTCCTTAATACCTGAATGATTTTGGAACTTCTGAGTATTTGGTTGCATTAGGCATATAAAAGAAGAACTTTATTAAGGGAAATATGTTTCCTTTTGTTTTTCTAATGGAAAGCAGTATATTTCTTTTTATAAGAATTTTGTAGTGTAGGGATGAAGATGATGACCTGGAAGAAAGTGAAGACAGTAAACAATGTAAAGAAAGCTTGAAAAGAGTGACCTTCACTTTGCCAGATGATGAGGCAATTGAAGATGCAGGTGTTTCACATGTAAAGAAAAATTCTGATGAAGTTAAATCCTCTTTTAAAAAAAGACAGGAAAAGGTAATTAGGAATTTAAGGAATTTTTAATATGCTTGACATGATTGTGGAACTCACAGACTACTAACAAATCTTCCCTATTTTTCTTTTTTTTTTCTTGAGATAGAGTCTTGCTCTGTCACCCAGGCTGGAGTGCAATGGCATGATCTCAGCTCACTGCAGCCTCCACCTCCCGGGTTCAAGTGATTCTGCCTCAGCCTCCTGAGTAGCTGAGATTAGAGGTGCATGACACCATGCCTGGCTAATTTTTGTATTTTTAGAAGACATGGGGTTTCACCGTGTTGGGCAGGCTGGTCTCGAACTCCTGACCTCAGGTGATCCTCCTGCCTCAGCCTCCCAAAGTGCTGAGGTTACAGGCATGAGCCACTGTGCCCCAGCCTTCCTATTTTTCTTGTTGTAACTATTAACCATCCTTTGCAAACAAATATCTTGGCCAGGTGCAGTGGCTTATGCCTGTAATCCTAAAACTTTGGTTGTCTGATGCAGGAGGATCGCTTGAGCTCAGGAGTTCAAGATCAGCCTGGGTGACATAGTGAGATCTTGTCTCTTCAAAAAATACAAAAATTAGTGGGGGCATAGTGGTGTATGCCTGTAGTCCAGCTACTCAGGTGGCTGAGGCAGGAGGATCACTTGAGCCCAGGAGGTTGATGTTGCAGTGAGCTATGATCACATCACTGCTCTCCAGCTTGGGCGGTGGAGCAAGATCCTGTCTTCAAACAAACAAACAAAACCAAAAATCTTGCTGCCACTCTCTAAAGCAAAAGCACACTATATGGAGATGCCATATGGAAAGCATCTGATTTGCAAAAATCAGTGCCTGCATTACCCAGCCTATAGCTTTCAATTTGGGGCCTGTGTGTAAAATGGTTGTTTCTTTTCTGTCTCCCTTATGTCTTTATATGCATAGCATGTCTCTTCTGACAAAGCTGTCCCGACAGCCTCTTCTTGTAACTGTTTTGACTGCTCCGGAGGATGCCGCCTATGTCTTTAAGGTGCTCCACAGATTTTGGTGAGTGCCAAATAGCCGTAATTTTAATTAATACCATGACAAAGATATCTTCCAAAGTATGTCATGATTTCAGACAAGTGAAATTTCATTTAATTTTTGTAGATGTAGTCTGGCTCCAATAATTGGGCTATATTATTTATCCAATCTTAAAATTTTATTATAAAAATGAGAATAGTGCCAGGTACAGTAGCTCACACTTGTAATCCCAGCACTTTGGGAGGCTCAGAAGGGAGGATTGCTTGAGCCCAGGAGTTCGAGACCAGCCTGGGCAACATGTTGAAACCCCATCTCCACTAAAAATATAAAAAATTAGCTGGGTGTGGTAGCGTGAGCCTATAGTCTCTGCTACTCAAGAGGCTGATCGGGGATGATCGCTTGAGTCCAGGAGTTCAAGGCTGCAGTGAGCTATGATTGGACTATGGCACTCCAGCCTGGGCAACAGAGCTGCAGAATAGGTAAATAAATGATACCAAGAATATCAAAAGAATTATTTTTAAAATCTGTGAATCTAAATTAAATTCATCATTGTCAGATTGTCCCCAGAAGATAAATTCTAAAGGGAAAAAACAAAACATAAAATATCAACGAGTTAATGTCCTCCTGTCCCGCTCCTCCCACCCTCCCCCAACAAGAAAGAAAAAAAGGTTTGGTTTTGCTTTGAAATTATATCAGACCTTCAAGTAAAATTTTCAATAAATCACAAATAATTTATTGAAATTTCCACATATAAAGAATAAAGTAGAACTTTCAAACTTTTTTCTTTTGAAACTGTTCGAACATGAAAACCCAAACCTGACAAAGGTACCTGACAAAGGTAACATTAAAACAGACACACTCTCTCATTCATGGCTAGTGATGCAAACATAGCACAGTGGGAAAATTATGCCGCACAATCACATGAAGCTCATTCCCTTGAATCACTACTAGAAGATCTGGTATGATTCCTGGTTGCAAGACATTAAGAAGAAAATACATGGTTCCCTCCATATATGTTAGAAAGACATTTGATAAAATTCAATATTTATTTCTAATTTTTTTTACTCCTAGTGGATTATAAATACATCTAGCCAAAAGCTGCCATCATGCATGATGAGTGAAACTGTAGAAACATCCCTTTAAGATCAGGAATAAGACAAAATGTCCAGTATTGCAGTTATCCCTGTTAATTAACACTAACAGTTAATAACCACATAAGCCAGTGCAACTACAAAAGATAAAGAGAAGGGATTAGGAAAACTGCCAGGAGCAGTGGTTCTCACCTGCAATCCCAGCACTTTGGGAGCTCAGGAGCTCCCAGCACTTGAGCTCAGGAGTTTGAGACCAGCCTGGGCAACGTAGTGAGACCTCATCTCTGCAAAAAATACAAAATTAGCTGGGTGTGGTTACATGCACCTGTGGTCCCAGCTACTTGGGAGACTGAGGTAAAAGGACTGCTTGAGCCTGGGAGTTGGAGGTTGCAATGAGCTGAGATCATGCAACTGTACTCCAGAGCAAGACTCTGTCTCAAAAAAAAAAAAAAAAAAAAAAAAGATTAGGGATACTAAAACGAAAACATTAGTGTTTGGAGAGAAAACCGAATGGATAAATGGAATCGATATTAGGAAAATAAGAGAATTCTGTAAGGTAGCTGAAAAAGCTGACATTTTATACATTGAAGTCATAATTGTTCATAACTTTTAGAAGTTAGAGATAATAAGAATTTGAGTTTAGAGTCAAAAGGGTCAGGCTCCATCAAATACTAATATCCTAATCAAAGAATTACTTGGCCAGGTGCGGCGGCTCATGCCTGTAATCCCAGCACTTTGGGAGGCCAAGGCAGACACATCACGAGGTCAGGAGATCGAGACCATCCTGGCTAACACGGTGAAACCCCGTCTCTTCTGAAAATAGAAAAAATTAGCCGGGCGAGGTGGCGGGTGCCTGTAGTCCCAGCTACTCGGGAGGCTGAGGCAGGAGAATGGTGTGAACCCGGGAGGTGGAGCTTTCAGTGAGCCGAAATCACGCCACTGCACTCCAGCCTGGGCAACAGAGCGAGAGACTTTGTCTCGAAAAGAAAAAAAAGAATTATTTAACTTAACTTTAGGGTGCTCTAATAATCAAAATTGATAGTGGCTTGTGAACAGATAGATCACTTGAATAGAATAGAGCCCAGAAATAAACCCAAATGCTTCTGGGGGAGTTTAGTATATTATAAACATGGCATTTCAAATCAATGAGGAAAAGAAATCATTTGCAGCTCACCCCACCATAGGCAGCAGGAATAGGAAGTCATTGGCACAATAAAAAGATGGTAAGGACAGAATTGTAGAACAGTACATTTCTTGCTTCCCCACTTTTCAAAGTATTTTTTGCTTTTACACAAGTATAAGTGTAATTTGATTTTCTCAATGTATACTAATTCTTTTGTCTCTTTCTTAGATGAATGAAAAAAATTACACCTTTAGAAAAAGAGTTGTTAGAAAAAAGCCTTGGTTGCGTCTGGGGGAAGTGACAGCACAGAAGGGACCAGAGAATAGCCTGCTGGAGGAGACCCTGCACTTTGACCATGCTGTCCGGATGGGTACGGTGCCCTCTTCTGCAAAGTTTTTCTATGGTTCCATTTTGTAGGAAGATTTGGGGTGATGTTTCTTTTCCCTCAACTTTTTATTTTAAAAACTTGCAAACACAGAAAAGTTGATAAAATAATACAGTGAACATCAGTATGCTATTCAACTGGATTCACCAATTAACATTTTATCATATTTGTTTTGTCTCCCCTGCATATGGAAGATTGTATATGTGCCCTTTTCCCCCCTGAATCATTTCAAAGTAAGTTGCCAGTATCAGCATTTCAGTGTTAAGTACTTTCGCAGATATCTTCTAGGAACCAGGACGTTCTCCTATATAATCACAATACCATTAATCCCACCCCAAAAATTTAACATCAATACACTAATGATACCTACTGTATAGATTATAATCAGCTTTCTTGCAGTAATCTGTTTAGAAGGCTTGCACCCTGTCACCATCCACTGATTAAATTTTGAACTCTAACTTGAAACCCTGCTCATCTCATTGCCTTCTTTCTTATACCCATTAAGTCAAAAAGAGCTCTCATTTTATTTCAACGGAAAAGAGAATGGAAAAGAGGGGAAGGTACCTGGGATAAAGTATGAGCACTTACTGCCATATGTATTCTAGTTCTGTAGTTTTCAAACTTCAGGGAGCATCTCAAGGCTTATTAAAGGACAGACAGCTGTCCCTCTTCCCCACTTTCTGATTCAGGAGGTGTGGGGCTGGCCCAGGAATTTACATGTCTAACAAGTTCCCACATGTTGCTGATGCTGAGGGTCTAAGGACTACAATGGGAGAATCCGTGGTTTAGTGGATATCCACCTAAAGAATACTTGTTGTATTTCCTTTAGTGCCTGTGATTACAGAGGAAATACCTTTCAACTGGAAGATATCATTAAACACAGGAAAAGAGATCAGGTCAGTAAGAATTAAATTTAACTTAATTGAAATGTCACTGAAATTTTTAGAAATAATATGACAGGCCAGGCACAGTGGCTCATGCCTGTAATCCCAGCACTTTGGGAGGCCAAGGCGGACAGATCTCTTGAGGTCAAGAGTTTGAGACCAGGCTGTCCAAGATGGTAAACCCCCCTCTCTACTAAAAATACAAAAATTAGCTGGGCATGGTAGTGCATGCCTGTAGTCCCAGCTACTTGGGAGGCTGAGGCAGGGGAATTGCTTGAACTCGGGAGATGGAGGTTGCAGTGAGCTGAGATGCGCCACTGCACTCTGAGACTCTATCTCAAAATAAATAAATAAATAAATAAATAAATAAAATAAATAAATAAAAATAAAAAATAAAGGGAAGATGGGGCAGCTTTGTGTAGTGCACTTCCCGAAAATGGGCTGATTTCCCTCAAGAGGCAGGGATTGAAGCTCTCTAGCCTACATGGGATACATACAGGAGAAAAAAGAAGAAAAAGAAAAGAAATGTAAACATAAATAAATGAAAATAACACTTCTCCCTGATTATAAAGGAAATCACATTCTTTTTGTAATAATTTGGATGACAAAATATAAAGAAAAATCTTTAATTTTGCCACTCAAAACATTCTGGTTTGTTGCTTTTTACACTTTTTATGCATATAAACATATTTAAAAGTAGAATCTGCCATGTTGAGACTGTGAGGTTGAAGCCTTCGGGAAAGAACATCAAGATGAATGGAGTCTGAGTTCCTGACAACATGGAGCATCATGCCAGCCATGAACCACTTCTGAGACATCCCTATGAGACAAAAATAAACTTCCATGTTCTTTAATTTATCATTTTGGAGGGTTTTCTGTTATTGCCGCAAAACCTAATCTTAACTAATACAGACATTGTATCTGAAATTCCCAGGAAAATCCCTGTAAACGTGTTGCTTGCCACGAATAACTGGCCTCTACCAGTATCACATTCCAGATGAGCAGAACAGGGAAAGGATTGGAAGACAAGAGAGGGGAGGAACACACCTCGCTCTCTCCTGCTATTGGCTGTGCCTGGCTGCAAGCTAGAAATGCTGGGTCCATTGCAAATGGCCACACATCTAAGGCCCTACCACCATGGGAACAGCCACTGGGAGATAACTAGCAGCTTTTACCATTTGTCATTTAATTATTTTAAAGTTAGAAACTTTTTCTTTTTGAATGTCTGAAAGAGAATGGCCTGAGAAATATTTTGGAAAAGTTAAATAAAGCTGATTTGTGACTGTTAAAAAAAATAAAAGTACAATCATAGTAAATGGGCTTTTGTCACTTATTATATTTTAAACATGTTTCTAGGGCAGAAGTATATCCTGGCATCATCATTTTTAATAGCTGGATTATGTTAAGTGAATCATTGCCACCCCAGAGGTGAATTTCCTCTATATACATTTTAATGGACTCCAGTAAGGATTTTTGCACTGAATTCATAGAAGTAGAATTTCTAGAGGAAAATAATGTAAAACTGTTTTAGGATTTTTAAAAGAAATGTTCAAATTATCCTGTAGGAAAATTGGTTCAGTTTATGCTCCCACCAACAGGGACAGAGCTCCAGGTTCCCCCTTCCATTTGTCATCTTTGCTGGTCTTTAAGCAGAAAATCTCATTGTTTTCATTACATTTCTTTGATTTCTAGTGCTTTTGAATCTTTTTCGTTTGCTCATTGGCCATTTTTATTCTTGTGGGAAGTGCCGGTTTCTCCATTGCCCATTTTCTGCTGGAAATCATTCATTTTTTTAATGAGTAATTTTAAATTTTTCTTTTTAGGCTAAGGATAAGTCAGGATCAGTCAGTTCAAGACTAGACTGATCAACATGGAGAAACCCCGTCTCTACTAAAAAGACAAAATTAGCTGGGTGTGGTGGCACATGCCTATAATCCCAGCTACTCAGGACTCTGAGGCAGGAGAATTGCTTGAATCCAGGAGGTGGAGGTTGTGGTGAGCCGAGATTGCACCATTGCACTCCAGCCAGGGCAACAAGAGCCAAACTCTGCAAGAAAGAAAAAGCAAGAAAGCAAGAAAGCAAGAAAGCAAGGGAAGCACGGGAAGCAAGGGAGAAAGGAAATAAAGGGAAGAAAGAAAGAAGGAAGGAAGAAAGGAAGGAAGGAAGGAAGGAAGGAAGGAAAGAAAGAAAGAAGAAAGAAAGAAAGAGAAAACAAAGAAAAAACAAATGAGACCATGGGCTTGGAAATGCCTTGAGAACATGTCAGGTGTGATTGAGAGTGAGGGAGTGTTACTGTGGAGTATCAGTGTAGCTGTTGTTCTGGTCGTCCAGCTACTCCTCTGCCTGCTCTATCCTGACTTAACCTTTCTCTATTTGCAGTACATCGAGAAATTAACAAAGGAGAGGGACGCTCCGAGTCTGGAACTGTACAGGAACACGTAGGATGGGGGAAGGTGGAATGGGAGGTCTGGGGGCCCTTAGAGTGGGTGGTGTGCTGGGAGGTGGGGGGTACAGGTGAGCATGGTGAGAGGCTTCTACAGGTTTTCATGTGTGCACAGGGAAGCTCTAGTGCCGGCGGTGCCACTGACTCATGGGGAAGCCTCAGGCAACTCATGTCTTCTCTCTGGCCTGCCACCTGTGACTTTTAATTCCTGGGGTCCTTTCCAATGCCACCGTTCTGTGGTTGTGGGGTGAAAGTAGAGGGTTGATCACCAAAGCGGTCCTTTCTATTCTTCGTTCATTCCTTTCTCTACTGCCTCTGGCCACAGCATAACCGATGAGGAGTTGAAGGAGAAAAATGCCGAACTACAAGAAAAACTTCGACTTGTAGAATCTGAAAAGTCTGAGATCCAGCTCAACGTAAAGGACCTTAAAAGGAAGCTGGAAAGGGCCCAGCTCCTGCTGCCACAGGCGAGCAGCTGCAGCCCCGGGGGTTGTGGGAGCCCCATCCGGCTGGGGCCATGGTCTAGGGATCATGTAGGGTGTGGGGAGGCTCCAGCCAAGAGCTGGAAAATTTGGGTCCTTGTTCTGGTCCCACCATAGAATCCTCTGGAGTGTGCTAAAAATATACAAATTGGGGCCCTGCCTGGGGAATCAGAATCTCAGAGTTTGGGCTTAAAAAAATATTTTTCAAAGGATCATAGATGAAAACCATTATTTTATAGATTACATTTATATGGCTAGCTCATGAGTCTGTTTCCTTCTGAGGTTTGAACCAACACTTTCACTATTCCAGCAGCAGCTGCAGGTGGAGGCTGACCACCTGGGTAAGGAGCTACAGAGTGTGTCAGCAAAGCTCCAAGCCCAGGTGGAAGAGAACGAGTTGTGGAACCTCCTGAACCAGCAACAAGAGGAGAAGATGTGGAGGCAGGAGGAGAAGATACAGGAGCAGGAAGAGAAGATGTGTGAGCAGGAGCTGAAGATAAGGGAGCAGGAGGAGAAGATGTGGAGGCAGGAGGAGAAGATGCATGAGCAGGAAGAGAAGATACGGGAGCAGGAGGACAAGATGTGGAGGCAGGAGGAGAAGATACGGGAGGAGGAGAAGATGCAGGAACAGGAGGAGAAGATGCAGAGGCAGGAGGAGAAGATGCGGGAGCAGGAAGTGAGGCTGTGGCACCAGGAGGAGAAGATGCAGGAACAGGAGGTGAGGCTGCAGGAGCTGGAGGAGAGGCTGGGGAAGCTGGGGCAGAAGGCGGAGCTCTTGGGGGGAGCAGGCAGAGGTGTGTGCAAACCCTGGAGATCATACAGAACGACCTCACCACAACTTAGCAGATGGTGGTTGGCTCCCTCTGCTTTTCCACCAGTCTGCGGCCTACAGTTTAAATGGTGGGAAGAAGGGTGTGAGATTTGAGGCTGGGGAGGGAGGCATGGGCCTCTAGGCAAGGGAGGCAGTCACTTAGGCCTGGAGGAAGGGGCCAGGGCCAGGGGCCTGAGCAGGCGACAGAGCCCCGCAGTGCCCTTGCCACCCTGTTTATGGGCCCAGAATCTGGAAGCCAGCGACTACCTACCCTGACGCCTATCCTGCAGGTGGAGCTGAAGAGCCAAGAGGCTCAGAGTCTGCAGCAGCAGCAAGACCACTACCGGGGTCACCTGCAGCAGTACGTGGCCGCCTATCAGCAGCTGGCCTCTGGGAAGGAGGCACTGCCCAGCTGCAGCAGCAGGAAGCTCAGGGCGAAGCGGTGGCTGAGATGGCCCACCAATAGTTGCAGGAGACCCAGCTGAGGGAGTTGATGAGGGTGGGGCCCTGAGGGGGACGACCTGGCAAACTCGGTGCCTTCTCACTCTCTTTCCTGGCCCCTTAGGAGCACCTGGAAGCTGCCATCTACCAAGCAGATGACAAGAACACAAATATAATAAACATGTAAAAGCCGGCAGCAAGGCCTGGAGAAGAGTAAGCTGCCATGTGACTGTTTAGAATAGAGTCTGAGCACAAACCTGAAAAAAAAAAAAAGAAAATTTATTTATTTTAAATTTTGGCAAAATACTGGCCAGGCACGGTGGCTCATGCCTGTAATCCCAGCAATTTGAGAGGCTGAGGTGAATGGATGACCTGAGGTCAGGAGTTCAAGGCCAGCCTGGCCAATACAAAAATTAGCCGGGCATGGTGGCACATGCCTGTAATCCCAACTACTTGGGAGGCTGAGGCAGGAGAATCACTTGAACCTGGGAGGCAGAGGTTGCAGTGAGCTGAGATTGTGCCACTGCACTCAAGCCTGGGTGACAGAGTGAGACTCTGTCTCAAAAAAAAAAAAAAGTTTCTTCCTTACATGTATGTTTCTATTAGTTTTTTTCTTGGTCTTTCTCATTTAGTCTGATGTTGTCTTATGGCATTCCTAGTAAAGTTTTATCTGCCTCCAGAGAGTATTGACTTTGACTTTATGGCACACAATTGGAGTAAGGGCAGATCGCCTTCATCTAGTTTGTGACTAAGCTAGTTCAAAGCAGGTTTTAGGTTTTGTGATGGCTGGTCTATATTTTATTCATTTGGACTCCTAGGGGTGGCCCTTCCAGGGTCCCCACCAATGTCCCATCTCCTTCCTGGGACCCAAATTCTCATTAGGTCATTTCAGCCCTGTGAGAGTGCCAACATTCAGCTAGGCTCTCCAGCCCCTTAACTACCACTTCATATTCAGTTTCTTAGCCTCTTAGCCCTCTACTGTTGACCGATCACCAAATGTGGGAAAAGCACTACAGACTGTCAGGATCACCTCCCAGGCCTGGTCACTCAAGTGCTGGCTGAGGTCTCCAATTACCTTCCAACAATTGTTTTTGGTGGTGGGGCACATTTTTGTCCAGTTTTTCTAACTGTTCCTATGGGGAGGCGAATCTGTAACAAGCTCCTCTGCCTTTAGTGAAAGTTGAAAACCTTCATCTGTCTCTCTCTCTTTTTTTTTTTTTTTTTTTTGAGATGGAGTCTTGGTCTGTTGCCCAGGCTCTAGTGCAGTGGCATGATCTCTGCTCACTGTAACCTCTGCCTCCTGGGTTCAAGCAATTCTCCTGCCTCAGCTTCCCGAGTAGCTGGGATTACAGGCGTGTGCCACCATGCCTGGCTAATTTTTATTTTTTAAATAGAGACAGGATTTCACCACATTTTCCAGGCTGGTCTCGAGCTCCTGACTCAGGTGAGCTACCTGCCTCAGCCTCCCAAAGTGCTGGGATTACAGACGTGAGCCATTGCATCCGGCCCATCTGTCTTTTAAGAAATGTATTTAATTTGAGGTATAATTTATATTCAGTGAAATGCACAGATCTGGTTTCCATTTTGATCAGTTTCAACAAATGCATTACCCATGTAACCCACCTCCTTTGAAGATATAGGGTATTTCTATCATCCAGAAAGTTCTCCTACGCTTTCATCCTGTCTGGCACTCCCCCAGCAGCTGAAGAACGTGCTGAGGACATTGGTACAGGATTCTGGCCTCCCCAGAAGAGCTGCTTTGACAAGCCTTCTTGCCTTACCCAGCACTAAATCCCTGCCTACTCTCTCAAAATTTCCATCTTTTAACTGGTTGTACGTATAACCCTCCCTCATCAAGTCAATAGATAAACAAACCCTGAAAAATAAACACCCCTTCCTGGCCCAGCAGCCCACAGCCTAATATTTACTGTCTTCCCGGGCTTTCAGAAATGCAACTCGCCTGCCGGTTCACCCTAACTAGGGCGGCAGCTGCACGGGAGCTGCTGGGCTCACCCGTTAAGCAAGAAGCCAATAGCTGGACAGTGACACTCAGACCCCAGCCTGGGTGAGCCTGGTTGAAAGCCCCCTTCTTTCCCGTCCGACTGTGGAGAAAGGGGGCGGAGCACACACAACTCTACTGCCCTCCGCATCCTTCACCTGTGCTTCCTCCTGGGAGAGGGAGCTACTCATTAATTCGGCCAAAACCTTCTTGAGGGCTGTAGGTTTCACAGGCTGGGTGTGTGGGGGCCACCATGCTAGAGAGAGAGGCTGGTGTGTCAGAAGGCAGCCACCTGGCCAGGGGAGGGTCAACCTGCTTGGTGACCTCCTTCCCCCGGCTGGACACAGCGCCCTGCACTCTCTACATGTGACTGTTCCCCTCAGAGCTGCTTCCAGAGGAGAGGTTCTAACCCTGTGGGTGGGGACATTGTGTTACTTTACAGTGGGCCATGGCTCCCTCTGACATCTCCAACTCAGAGGCAGTAGAGAGAAGATGAGAAACTCCATGCACCTCCTCGCTCAGCACCCCCACCTCTGCACACGTCCACATATGGAGACCCTGACGATGGGCCCTGGGAGTGCCGCCATCTGCGCCTCCTTTCCATGCCTGCAGCAGCCATGCCCACTCTCCAGACCCTCACCCGCCTCGCTCAGTAGACGCTGCACTGCCTGTGGTCCTGCCCCTACACCTGGGCCTCTGTACCCATCGGTTCTCGCAGTCTGGTTCTTATTCCTCGCAAAGAGTAGGGAGCCTGTAAGGTCACCTGTTGAGCAAGCTGGGGGAGAGAGTAGGGTGGGGCTGGGAGGATGAGGAGGAGAAGCTGATGGTCGTGCTGGAGACTCAGCTGAGCAGAGTCTCTGCAGGCCCATTGGCTGCCTAGCCAGTGGTGATCCTGCTCCCACCCTCATTTCTTCTTTGTTAACAAAACCATGACCTCATTAAATATTGGACACCTATAAACCTCATGGACCCTCCTCCAGCCTCCCCGCCATGTATTGGTGAGTCTAAGTCAACTCTAGTCATTTCATTCCTCTGGACATTGATTGCTTTGGGCTTGGGCATGAGCTGCCTCTTCGCCTGAGCCTGAGCCACAGGTGCCCTCTGCACCTACCACACTGATGCACTGGGCCAGGGAGAGCTCCATCTCGATGGAGATGAGCTGTGAGGAGCTGGCGGCTGGGCGGATCAGGTTGTGGTAACGGGTTTTGTTCAGAAGGTCGTCCATCAGCTTCTGCTCGGCAGGGCCATGCGGCAGAACCCTGCGTAAACACACAGACCTGCTTGGTCCTTGTGCAGCTGTCCCCCACTGCAGCTGACAGCTATGAAGCAGGAGCTGAGAGGGCCAGGGAGCACAGACACCCTGAGAGCTGGCTGAAGCAGTGAAGGGGCTGGCCGGCCTGGCTCTCCCTGGGGACTTCAAATGACATTCATGACAGAGCTCAGCTACCTCCTCCCATGCCATACCTCTTCCTCCTCCTCCTCCCTCAATCAATGAACAGCATCCCACGCTCTACACATCTGATACAAAACTGGGTGTCTCTTCCTGACCCCTCCCTTGGTTCATATAAGTGGCCACCAAGTCCTGTCTGTCCTCCCATCTCCACGGCTACAGCCATGTCCCTGCCTCCCCCGCCCTGCCCACCTTCTATTCTCTCCACCCACACTCTGCCCGTGCCATCCATGTGCCATACAGTGGCAGACTGGTCTTTCTACAGCAAACTGGACTTGGGCCCTTCCCTACCCACAGCTCTCAGAGCTGGAGGTGGAGTTGAAACTCATGTTTTGGCTTGGCATTCAGAGCTCTTTCCCCCTCAGCTCTGGCTTATCCAGAGTGCTCACAGTGCAGGGCAGGAGCCCCATCACTCAAGTGTGGGTTTGGTGCAGAACTGGGTCAGAGGTGGTGCTTTCCCTATGAAGAGACAGGGCTGAGATGGGATATTCGGGGTTCAGAGTCAGATCTATGGAGTGCAAGGTTTCTCTGAGGCACCAAATGGAGGGGTCCAGCTAGCAGCTGGCTCCTGGTCTGGAGCTTCAAGGAGAGGTCTCAGCTCAGAGCCACATTCAATAGCCAGCTTACATGCGGCCTCCTGCAGGGAGCCCCTGGAGCTTCCACAGCCTCCGATCTGCCCCTCTGCATACCCCAGATCTCCTGCTAAGTGGCGTTTGGGTCTTCATGTCATCTCCCTCCCATGTCTGGGAGTAAAGGTGAGGTGCAGGGACTTGCGCTTGTGTACTCTGGTGTCTTAAGGGAGAGTGTGTCAAGTAGAGTGGAGGCAGCTTGGAAAGAGGGAGACTCAGAGGAGAGTGAAGGACACATGACCAGGCGAGCCTGGGAGCAGGAAAAGAGTGAGCAGAGGAAACTGCTGGGTCAGGGGAGTGGATGGGAGGATCAGGGAATGCGGGGGGCTGGAGAGGTGGGTGTGGGGATGCTGGCAAGGGGCTGCCTGGCTCGCCAGGCTCAGGAGTTTTTACATCCTCCCACAATGGCCAGCTCACCTGGTCGCTCCAAAGCCCTCCCTCTGTGGGTGGGACCAGAGGGCCCAGAGCACGGATGACCCAGTTGAGCAGGACTGAGGTGGACTCAGGTGGGTGCTGGGCTGGACTCCTGGCCGTAGGGAGCAGCTGCCACCCTGCCTACTGCATCCACATTCCAACTCGCTGCCTATCTGAGCAGATGCAATATTGGGCACCTTGTGGAACATGCTCCTGGTGCACCTGCTGCCTCCTGCCCTTCCTGCAGAGTGCCCGGGCTCTCCAGAGGGGATTCCTGTGGAGGCTTGGCCTAGATTCTGAGTCCTGCCTCTCATACCCGGGGCTGCTACCCAAGAGGCCAGCTGCTTGAGTACCCTGGAAGCCAGTCTGTAGCCCCAGGCTACAGCTGGGTGCATCCCACAGCCCTTCTTTAGTTTACCTATTTGGACTGAGTGCTCATTTCATAGAGAGGGGTGTGTCTTTCCCCAGCCCATCTGGCATGTCTAAGGCAGCTGTGGGGTCAGAATCTGCAGCTCCCAGCCCCTAGCCCTGCAATAGTAGGAGAGGCTGGACCCCACATCTCTGAAGTCCCACTGGGCTGGTGCAAGTGGGCTCCCAAGTTCAGAGCTGCTGTGCAGGCTGTGGGGCTCATGCACCTGTTCTGAACCCACCTGATGTGCTCAGGTTACTCACCTTTGGGCCTGTCCTGCCTCTCTGGCATTCGGCTGACCCTGAGGGCCTCTCCCTCATCTTGACCACCAGCTATGGGCTCTGACTTAGGGGTTCCCAGAACCTTAGACCATTTGGCCGACCCCCCATTTCTCAGCTAAGGAAACAGGCCAAAAAGGGGAAGCAGCTTTCTCAAGGACCCCCAGCAAGTCAGAGGCAGAACCAGGTCTAGGAACCTCTTTTTGACAGAGGTTCTCCCTGTCCCCTGAGCCTTCTTTAGTGCCTCATTAACTTCCCTGTAAGGAGACTGCCCCGCTGAGGCTGGAAATGGTGCTGTCCAGGGTGGTGTGTGCCCGTGACTGTGCTTGTGTTTGTACTTGTGAGTGTGTATGGGGGTGGGGATGAGGGGTGGGAATAAACGGCAGGGATGCTGGGGGCTGGAATACACTCTGCCTCACCCCAAAAAGGGGCACAGCAGAGCCCAGCCAAGCACAGCACATGCTTCGACTTTCCAGTCCGCTGAATGAGTGTGAGGCCGGCTGGGCCCAGAAGACAAGGGACAGGCCTTTCCCCACAGACGGCAGGGGGGCCCAGGATGGGTGGAAGATTTTGCCACAGCTTTGGGGATCCCATCCCAGCCCATGGGCTGACTGTTAAGCAGAAAAGCCACCTCTAGGGGTCAGTCATGATCTAGTGATTCTGATGAGGAGGGGGCCCCACCAGCCTCTGTCCAGGGTCTTGTCTGGGAAAAACTGCTCCCTGGCAGAAACGGGCTAATAATTTGAGAGGAAGCCATAGCTGAAATCCTAAACTGTGTGAGTGTGTGTCCAGTTTGAAAAAGCATATTTGACCTAAACATTTATATTGAAAAAATGGAAAGATATTCCCCTTGTTTTGGAATACAAACTACAGAAAGTAACAGTTAACAGAATCCTATTGGAAAGGTCAGATTCTGCATCTGGAAAGGCACAGTGATTTTCAACTGGGGTGTGTGTCCTTAACTGAGGAAGGGAAGGTGAGATTTATGTTTAGTAAAAGGCAGCTATGAATTTACCTTTTATAAAGAGCTTGCCATATACTATTAGTGCTTTTTCAATCATGTCAGAATCTGCCGGATGCCTGTGGAAATGCAAATTCCCAGGCTTCATTCCCAGAGATTCTGGTCCTGTGAGCCTAGGGTGGGGCCCAGCAAACTCTATGGGGTGGTGCAGGCTGCCCCAGGACCACACCAAGAAACACTGCAACTGGCCCCCACACACATCCCAGTCCCCAAATATGTAGGCAGGCATCTTATCTCCATGGAACAGATAGGGAAACTGAGGTCAGAGTGGGGAAAGAAATGTCATGGGGTCACCCAGGAAGTAGTAGCATAGCCACGATACACCCACTGCCTGCAGACACCATCTCTGATGGCAGCTCCACCTCCCTACAGGAACCTTGCCTACCCCCACCCCTACCTCCTGTTGCCCCTATGCTGGGTCTCTGTCCAAGGAAGATGTAGCCCTGGTCCTCTAGGCTGACTGGGGCTTGGCCCAGAGTGTGGGAGTTAGAAGGGTCCTTGGAATTC